>NC_000001.11:239214424-239365939 GCF_000001405.40 Homo sapiens
CTGGTAATAGCAGGATGGGGACCATAAAGCTTATGACATTGTAAATTCTGAATTCTGTTTAATATTATTTAGATTTAGAACTCAAATAGCTCTGCGGAAACAATTTTTATCCTAATACAAACTTTTCACTTGAGCATTTATATGAAAATAATTTTTTCAAAGAAGTAGAGAAAGCAAGCTTATTCCTTTGTTTGAGTCATAGTAAGTTGAGAGCATCTGAAAAATCAGCCGTCAATGTTGGCTTCCAAGTGCTAGTCAATGAGTAAGTGATATATATTAATTATCTCAGTTTACTCACGCAGCAAAGGACTTAGTATGGATATTATTTTATAGATGGGGAAAGTGCTACCTAAAAATATTAAATAACTTACTTGAAGTTACACAAAAAAATTGAATGCTGGGTCCAGGATACTAAGTCTCTTTTTATCATACTACAAGTAATATTAATCAGATGGCAGAATTTTTTCTGTTCAGCATCTTAGTGACATAGATAACTGTCTTGCCACTTCCAGAGTTAATTTCTCCATAATTTCATTCCCAGATAACTTATTACTTTAGTGAGCCTTAAAGTAATTTACTTTTTATTATGAATATTTACATGCTGGTCTTAATACTCTTGGAAATGTAAAGTTTATGTCAAGATTCATGTCTTTGTCATAAATGCATAATCTCAGTGCATAACATGGTATTTGACACATAATAGGTACTTAATAGTGAATGAACAAATACCTTCCAGGAGGTTAGCATTTGTAAAACATCCTAAGAATTTACTATAATAACACCATGTTCTTTATATTAAAGAAGACTAATTAGATTAGGTAAGCAAATATTGTGGCAACGACTCACCATATTGTAAGTAGAATCTTAAAAAGTCATCATTTGCTCTTCCTTCCTCTTTCCAACACATTACAACTTTAAACTTGATCACCTACTGTCTCATTTTATTTACTTTCACTGATATTTTACAATCTTATTTATTTCCCAGCTGCTATCTACCCAAACTTTGCCCTACAATCACTGCCACCTCTGCAGAGATAGCCTTCCTTTCATCTTTTGCAGCCTATTTTTTTTCAGTTCTTCAAAACTCACTTTTAGATTTCTAGCCCCATTTGACTTATCAATGGGGTTTCTCTTAAAAAAAAGTCCATCTTTATTTTTGTTTGGATTTCCAGTGTAAATATGCCCAATTCTTCTATGTCTCTGTTTCTAAACAAGACTCTAAAGTTTTTGCAAAAGAGGTGCCATATCTTATATATACCCTGAAAAAAATGACCCATACTCAAAACCCTTAGTAGAAGACTTTTGGTAAGCCTGTAGCAAATATTAATAGACGTACAAGATTAGAAAATACTGCAGTGGTTGGTTAATTGCCATTGTTAGACAAATTAGCATGAGTTGCTTAGGGTTTAAGGGTTCTACCTTATTTTTGCTAATGTTCTGAGTGAACCAGTTATTCTAACTGTGTATTATTAACATATTACACGATTGACAGATGTTCACTTACACAGAATTGACAACAGATTTTTCATGTCAACATTTATTCATATAACCATTTTGTCCAACCATATGCATGAACATTTGATCCATGGAAGTTATTAGTTCATTTACATTATTTTCAGGAGGGAAGAAAGCTGAAAAAAAAGTGTGCTTTTATGAATGTGCTCCAGATGTTCAGCAACAAAAGTTGAGAACTTGGAAATCAAACAGTACTTTATGCATTATTGGGTATATTAAGATCTGCTTTCAGGGACTCTTAAGTGCCTGCTCTTCTGTTTTTCTGTCTTCTCAGTGCGCTGTATTTTTTTTCCCTAAATGGAAATACTTTGTTGATACTTTTTGCAAGATATAACTGTCATTAATTATTATCCTAAAATATGTAATGAACGCGATGCTTTCACAAAGAATTAAACAGATCATAAAGTTCTAAAATCTGTTATTCACTCACATGAGCCAATAGAACATGAGTGGATAATTTAAAATAAGTGGTTTTATGTATATATGTACCTTTCTATCAAAATACTCAGAAGCAAGCTACCACACTATCAGAGTTTTTTACTGTATATAAAAATAAGTAAAATGACTCCACTATAATCAGAATTTTTGGCTCATTTGGTTAATAAAGCTTGACAAATTCTTTAACTAGGGAAAGCTGGGCATACTGGGAAGATCATGGGTCATGATTGAAAGGAAGGAGCTGTCCCCTGCCACGTTATATATTTAGAGGGGAGTTGGGGAAGGACAGAGGACACCAGACGAGGTAATAATTTTCTTCTCTGATGAAAGAAGCCCTGTTTAAGAAAGGAAGATAATCTATAAACAAGCAGTTATTAGTAACAGTCTTCCCCTGGGAGCTCTGTCCTGCTGATACAGCTCATTGATAGATAGGTCTTGTAAGAAAGGAGTTGTGGGTAAGGGGGAGAAGATGGTAGAGGCATCCAGCCCTTTCTCACCTTATCTAGTAAGGGATGCCAAGAAGATGCAGAACGAGCAGAATTTGGAAGAATGAGGTGGAAGGGCAAAGCTCTTTTTGATATTTAGTAAGCATAAAGTTTGATCATTTAGTTAAGATTTTCAGCCAAAAATTGCTTATTGTTTACCTCCACATATTCGTCACTCCACTAGGAGACACCAATTACCTTCTCCCACATTAGGCGGGGGGGAGTCGAGCAGCCACACATGCGTTAGTTCCCATTCTGAAGAAGAATCTTACAAAAAAAATAGCATTCACGTAGTTGCTTTATTTATTAAGGTCTTCCTTGGTAAACATACCAAGGAATGACATGTCTGTCACGTAGCTGTTAACCTTGCTTGGCCTTCTTCTTAAATTCCTGTGGATATTCTCATATCATTATTGCCCTGACATTAGAAAAGTAACGAATGACTTTTACTATAACACAAGTAATAGGTGTTCATTCTAAAATAAAGCTTTTGGTTGGTCACAGTGGCTCATGCCTGTAATTCCAGCACTTTGAGAGGTGGAGGCGAGCAGATCACTTGAGGTCAGGAGTTTGGGACCAGCCTGACCAACATGGTGAAACCCCATCTCTACTAAAAATACAAAAAAGTTAGCCAGGCATGGTAGCATGTGCTGTAATCCCAGCTACTTGAGAGGGTGAGGCACAAGAATCGCTTGAACCTGGGAGGCGGAGGTTGCAGCGAGCCGAAATGGTGCACTGAACTCCAGCCTGGGAAACAGAGCAAGACTCCGTCTCAAAATTAAATAAATAAATAAAATAAAATAAAATAAAATAATAAAGCTTCTAATTTAGATAAGGTCACCTGCGGTTTTAAGGAAAACATGCCAGATGAGGACAGCTGTGGAGGTCCCTTTTGTTCACAATACTGCACAGCCATCCAGAAGGTCACAAGGTACACAGACAGGGCAGACATGCACACAAGTTTTCAGTGAGTTAGATGACTGGTAACTTATTCAATTTAGATCACGGTGTGCTGTTTTGGAGAAGTCAATTTTAAACTGGCTTTCAGGTATATGTGACACTGACAGATAATAGGTTCAATATCCGTGCTTCAAACCTATTCACAAGTGATTGTCCTAACCCACACTACCTCAGAATATGACTGTATTTGGAGATAGGGTCTTTTAACGGGTAATTAAGTTAAATGAGGTCTTTAGGTTGGGCCCTAATCCATTAAGACTGGTGTTCTTATATCCTTATAACAAGAGGAAATTAGGACATAGATATGCACAGAGGAAAGAGGATATGAAGACACAGGGAGAAGACAGCAACCTATAAGCCAAATAGAATGAAATTAATCCTGACAACACTTTGATCTTGGACTTTTAGCTCCCAGAATTGTGATAAAACAAATGTCTGTTGTTTAAGCTCCCTCAGTCTGTGCTATTTTGTCATGGCAGCCCTCACAAACTAAGAAGGCACTATCGCTCTAAGTTTTGTTGTATGTGAGGCCATAGATGCTCTCTATTAAGATGGCACAGATGCCTTTTTGGGTCAGGCCAGTTCCCCTGAGGTGATGAATTAATGCCTGTGAATCATCTGAGGCACAAAAGCCAAGAAAGAAGGAGCTGGGCCTTGCATAATGACTTTGAGCAGTTGCTGGTCTCAGGGAGTTATGCCACCTCTAATCTAGGATTGCAGCCAGATTTCTGCCTGGAGGCAGATGTAGTCTGTTGAATCTCTGCATGGTTATGGTTCAGTCCTTGTTAATAGGTTTGTTGTCTTTGCCTCACTATTGATGACAGGGAAACAATTAAAAGGAGGGTATCACAACCTAGTAATAGATTCATAGGGATTTGATTACTCATGACCCCCCTCAATGGCAAAGTGTAAAATAGGCTTACTAGAAAATCCATCCCATTGATTCAAACCCAAGTCCCAGTCCCACCAGGGAGCTACGGATCATGGCTGAGATTATAACTTTTGACATAGCAAATGTGTTAGCAAACACAGTTTATCTCTGAAAGTGGGAGAAGCAGATATGACAACCCATTGTAGAAATAATTCATTGAATAACCTGGGCCAGTACCAGGGAACACCACTAACCTTGCTAAGGATGACTTAAAGCAGCATAAAGCAGTATTAAGAAAACTAACAATGTTAAGCAGATTTCATATAATAAAGGATTCTTTCTCTGTCAGAGGGGGAAGATTCAGGAGAGGTGAGGGGAATCCAGAAAGCAAGACTTTTTTTGTTTGTTTGTTTGTTTTGTTTTTTTTTTGTTTTGTTTTTAAACAGAGTCTCATTCACTCACATCATCGCCAGGCTGGAGTGCAGTGGCACAATCTCAGCTCACTGCAACCTCTGCTTCCTGGGTTCAAGCGATTCTCATGCCTCAGCCTCCTGAGTAGCTGGGATTACAGGCATGCGCCACCACACCTGGCTAATTTTTGTATTTTTAGTAGAAACAAGGTTTCACCATGTTGGACAGGCTGGTCTCGAACTCCTGACCTCAAGTGATCTGCCTGTTTCAGCCTCCCAAAGTGTTAAGATTACAGGTGTAAGCCACCGCACCTGGCCAGAAAGCAAGGTTTATGGATTTTCTAATCTGCTGGTGTCATAGGCTTCCTAGTTTGCTTCCAAGATATCTGGAAAGTAAACAAATAGCATATAAAGAAAATGGAAAGACATGAGAAGAGGCCAGAGACTTGATTCAGTTGTAAGCCACTGGTAATTGCACTAGTTAAGCTAGGAAAACATAACCACAAATTTTATGCTTGCCTAGTCCTAGGACTCTATCCTGGTTGGGAGAACACTAGCCATTCCCAGCACAGACAGTTAGTGAAAATCCTACACATCGTAGGCATAAGTTGATATAAGCCTTTTGTGTCATTAAGATAAGTCGTTACTGCTAATTAGAGGCAGAGGTAACATCAGAAGCACCACTACAAAGCCTAACAGAAAAGTATACCCAATAAGGACTTTAAGATAAGTTACCTGAGCCTGATTTGGATTGATTCTCCCTTGTGGAAGCTCTGGGGAATTACACAGACCAGCAAGGCAGGTGGTCCTTCCTTCACCACCCTCAGGCCCTGTAAGGTGCACTATGGCCTTGCACCTTGTGTGGGTGAAATAATCATCCAGTCCTCATGAGCCAAACAAGTATGGCTAGCATTCCTTCATAAAATTAGAGGTGCATACTCAGGCTATAGCTCAGGTCAAAAGCAGGCTAGAGAATCTCGGATAAAGTGAAAATTAAGGCTTAAAGTTGGCCCTACAGGAGTTCGTTCAGTGTGGACCCATTGAGAGCAAAGCAGTCAAGGCTACACCAAATTAATTATCTTCCTCTCATAGCTTGTTGGGCGGTAGTCTTCATTAGGTTAATATAATTTTTAAGGGATAATTTCTTAATTTCAGAGATAAAGCTAAAAGTCAGTTATTTTCCTCCAGCATAATTGATCCTTGTGCAGAAAAAGTCCCCCAGAAATTCTTTTTAAATCAAAGCATCTTTGCATTACTATTTCCCTGTATTCTAGATTAATTGAAAAGGAAGATGATTCTCTTAGCTCAAGAGAGTACAAAGTTTATATTTCTCAAAATCCCAGGCAGTATGGTATATCTTAATTCGTGCCCTGATATGAAATTAATTGTTCTATAATCATCCAGTCAGGGGAGGAAATATAATTCTTTCCATGGATTATAGCTGGTATAATGGCCAAAAACGTAGACCGGAGTATATACTATATTAGGCACAACAAATGACAAAGTTACATAGATATGGGCCTCATCACGTGGGGTAGGTCTTAGATAATTCTCCAAAGTCTCAGTTTATATCAACAAACCTCAAAGATAGAATGATGTCAGGAAAAGCAGCAAAGTAAGGACCTCTGAAAATGAGCTCCTCCACAACAGGAATGAAGAAAAAAAGGGGAAAATTGTCAAAATCAACATTTTCAGAACTCTGGCATGCAATCAACCACAAGTTTGCAGCAACTCAGGCAGCATTTATATTCAAGAAAAGCAGCTGAATCTCAGTATGAACTTTTGTGGCATTTTAACTTGCTCTAGTCCCAGCTCCTGCTCTCCAGGTCTGTAATAGCATTGAAAAATAACAGCTCACAATCACAACACATCCTGAAAGCTACCAGAAGGAGGATACAGTAATGGAGTCCTTTCAAACTCTAATTCCCAAAGAATCATCGTTATTTGACCTACCGGTAGTTCCCCGGAAGACTTCATTTAACAAGATTATCTATATTTGGCCTGATGTGAAACTCAATCAGAGCAAAAATTCTCTATCTGAGAGGTGTTTGTCAAAAGCAATTACAGGCAAGCGTTTTAACCTCATGTTGGCTAATATAAGGAGGAATAATAGTTGGTATAAACAGCATACTAACCAAACAGATAAAAAGGGTAAACTGGGGAATGAGTTGTCTGCAGGGACTTTGAAAAGTCATGACATATCCTGGAAATCTAGAACACCACACACACATAGAACACACTATGCACTTACCTGAGAAAGACCTGAGAAAGCTGAAAGCTATCACTTCTGGCTTACTTTGAAGCTCTACATGAGCATAGAGTGAAGACAAAAGCAGAATTTTTTGCTTTGCTGACTATTAAAAACCTGCCTGGATATGCACATAAAGTCCCTCAGCAAAGACTGGGAGATTTTGCAGCTTCTCGCATTTAATAAAATATCTGTCTAATCATTCAGTAAGCTAACACTATTCTAACAGAGTACAGACTTCAATGATCACACACGAGAAAGAATACTGACAGCTATTTTAAATATACTTTAAAGAGCTATGTTGTTTGTGACCTTTATTTCTGTGAGTCATATGCCTTGTATGCCTAGTTTGTTGAGAGTTTTTATCATGAAGAAATACTGAATTTCATCATATGCTGTTTCTGTGTCTATTGAGATGATTACATGTTTTTTTTTGTCCTTGATTCTGTTTATCTGATGTATCACATTTATTGATTTGCATGTTAAACCATCCTTGCATTCTTGGTATAAAACCCACTAAATAGTATTATCTTTTCGATGTGTTGTTGGATTTGGCTCGCTAATATTTTATTGAGGATTTTCCTGTCTTATGTTCATAAAAAATATTGATCTGTAGTTTTCTTTATTTGTTCTGTATGTGTCTGGTTTAGGTATCAGGATGATATTGCCCTAGTAGAATAACTTAGGAACAATTACCACCTTCACAAATTTTAGAGCAGTTTCAGGAGAAATAATATTAGTTCTTCCTTGTATGTTTAGTAGAATTCAGCAGTGAATTTACCTGGTTTTGAACTTTTCTTTTTAGGAGACTTTATTACTGATATAATCTTGCATATAATTACACATAATTCATAGTTCCTGATGATTCATTGTGTGTCTGTGGTAACAGTTGTAATGTCTCCTGTTGCATTTCCGGTTTTCATTTGAGTCTCCTCTCTTCTTTTCTTAGTCTAGGTAGTGATTTATCAATTTTGTTTACCTTTTCAAAGAATAAGTTTTTCATTTTGTTGATCTCTTCTGTATATTTTTAGTCTCTAATATAGTTCTGCTCCCATCTTTGTTATTTCTTTTCTTCTGCTGGTTTTGGGTTTGGTTTTTTCTTGCTTTTTTAATACCTTGAGGTGCATCATTAGATTGTTAATTTTTAATCTTTCTACCTCTTTGGAAGAGACATTTAATGCTAAAAACTTCACGCTTATCAATGCTTTTGCTATATCCCAAAAGTTTTGATATGTTTTGTTTTCATCTTCATTTGTTTCAAAAACTTTTTTTATTTCTGTCTTAATTTATTCACTGACCCAGTAGTGCAGGAGCATGTTGTTTAATTTTCATGTATTTATGTACTATCCAAAATTCCTCTTTTTATTGATTTGAAGTTTGAGTCCATTGTGGTCTGAGAAAATACTTGATATGATTTCAAATTTAAAAATTTGTTAAGATTTGTTTTGTGGTGTAACATTTAGTCTATCTTGGAGAATGTTCCATGTGCTGATGAAAAGAATGTATATTGTGTACTTGTTGGACTGAATGGTCTGTAAATGTCTGCTAGGTCAATTTTATCTTAAGTCTGTAGAAGAAAATAAAATATTGTGACACCAAGCTCACTATGTCAAAGGGAAAGTTAAGCCTGGGAACTGAGTCACACAATACTTCTTTTCTTTTTTGCCCAAACAGATAGCTGTAATTTCACAATCCTGTTTCATGGCATTATACATAAACCAGATTCTCACAATAGCAAAAGGCCATATATCTCCCCAGATGGTCCCCCTCACAAATTCCTCACAAAAAATTATTTATTAGCCCCTAAATCCTTCAGGACATGATACATATCTCCCCATAAAACCAGCCCTAAAATTGAGTTCTGTTAAATCTCACACTGTCAATGTTGATTTCAAGTTTATTTCCCCAGGTAGGGAATGGGAACAAGAACAAGAAATTATTTCTCCACCTACCCTGAGGTGGAGGCATATTATACTTTGTCCTCCACTCCGTCTTTTCAAATGTTTACTTTATCTTATGTAAAATGTAGGTTTACTGAGCATTAATCAGAGCCTCACAAGAAGGTAATCATTTGCTTCACTGCTTATTCTCTCTCAGTTTTTCCCTTCTGCTTTATGTTTTCCCCTTTAAATACTGAGTTCTTCAAACCCTCTTTGAGATGCACCGGTCATAGATGCTCCTGTGAACTTGTGTTTTTCCTGGGCACTTCCTCAAACTTTGGCTTGCTAAATCTACTGATCAAGACACCTGCCTCAGTCACTTTTTGGTTAGCAAGTCCAATTTAAAACAAATGTTGCTTTGTTGATTTTCTGTTTGGATGACTTGTCTAATACTGTACATGGGTTGATGAAGTCCCCCACCATTATTGTATTATTGTCTATCTCTCTCTTTAGGTCTACTAATATTGATTTTCTGAATCTAGGTGCTCCAGTGTTGGGTGCACAGATATTTAGAATTGTTATATCCTCTGGCTGAACTGATCCTTTTATCATTATATAATTACCTTCTTTGTTTTTATTTTATTATCCTTGACTTAAATTAAGCTTTAATATAAGTATAGCTACTCCTGCTCACTTTGGTTTCTATTTGCATGGAATAATTTTTCTACCCCTTAACTTTTGGTCTGTATGTGCTTTTAAGGAGAAGGTGAGCAACATATAGTTGTAAACACATATAGTCAGTTTTTTTTTAATCCATACAGCCCATCTATATCTTTTAAATGGTGCATTTATTCAACTTACATTCAGGATTTATTCTGATATATGAGGCTTTCTTCCTGTCATATCATTAATTGTTTTCTAGTTGTCTTATAAGTTTGTTCTTTCTTTCTTTCTCTCTCTCTCTCTCTCTCTGTTTGTAATTGTGGTTTAGTAGAATTCTGTAGTGGTATCTTTGATTCCTTTCCCTTCTTCTTTTGTGTGGTTGCTTTACCATGAGTTTTATACATTTTTGGGTTTACATGTTGCTAAATTTTGTCCTTTCACTTTCAATTTAGGACTCCCTTGAGCATATCTTGTAGGACTGGTCTAGTGGTGATTTCCCCTAGCCTTTGTTTGTCCGAGAAAGACCTTACCTCTGTTTCTTTTACGAGAGTTAGTTTTGCTAGATATAGAATTCTTGGGTGGTTATTATTTATTTTTTATTTCAGCAGTTTGGATATGTTGCCGCATTCTCTTATGGCCTGTAAGGTTTCCACTGAGAACTTCAATGTTAGCCTGATAGATTTATTTTATAAGTAACTGGATGCTTTTCTCTGGCTGATTACAGAATGTGTTCTTCCACTTTGACTTTAGACAGTCTGATTATAATGTGACATGATGAAGTCCTTTTTGCATTGCCTATTCCTGGGGATCATGAGTGTGATGGTTAATACTGAGTGTCAACTTGGTTGGATTGAAGGATGCAAAGTATTGATCCTGGATGTGTCTGTGAGGGTGTTGCCAAAGGAGATTAACATTTGAGTCAGTGGGCTGGGAAAGGCAGACACACCCTTCATCTGGTGGGCACAATCTAATCAGCTGCCAGTGTGGCCAGAATATAAAATAGGCAGAAAAATGTGAAAAGACTAGACTGGCTTAGCGTCCCAGCCTACATCTTTCTCCCATGCTGGATGCTTCTTGCCTTCAAACACTGGACTCCAAGTTTTTCAGCTTTGGGACTCAAATTGGCTTCTTTGCTCTGCAGCTAGCAGACAGCCTATTGTGGGACTTTGTGATCATGTGAGTTAATATTCCTTAATAAACTCCCCTATATATATATGTATATATATACACACACACACATATGTATACACACATACACACACACACACACACACACACACACACATACATATATACATACAGGGGATTTTATTATGGAGTATTAACTCACATGATCACAAATTTAATAAGTTATTAAATAAATATATATATATTTATTTTATATATATATCCTATTACTTCTGTTCCTCTGGAGAACCCTGACTGGTATGATAAGCTTCCTGTATCTGAATGTCTAAATCTGTTACTAGACTTGGGAAGTTTTCATCTATTATTTAACTACATAGGTTTTATAAAGTTTTTGATCTCTCTTCACTCTCTATAATACTGAAAATTAATAAATTCAGTCATTTTCTGTGGTCCCAAATGTCTCGAGGCTGTGTTCATTCATTTTTATTCTTTTTTTTCAACTGTGTCTGACTGTATCATTTTAAAAGACTTGTCTTCCAGTTCTGAAATTCTTTCTTCTGCTTGGTCTAGTCTATTGTTGAAGCTTTCAAAAGTATTTTGTGTTTCCTTCAATGAATTTTTTAGTTCCAGAATTTCTGGTGCTTTGTTTTATTTTTAGATTTATCTCCTCAGTAAACGTATCCATCATATCTTGATTTTTTGAGTTCTCTGTGTTGGTTTTCAGATTTCTTTTGCATCTCATTGAGCTTCATTATAATCAACACTTTGAATTCTTTATCTGGGATTTTGAAGATTTCTTTATGGTTAAGCTTTGTTGTTGGAGAAGTGTTGTGTTCTTTTTGGGGTGTCATATTACCTTGCTTGTCATGTTTTCTATGTCTTTACATTGATTGATTTGTGTAATCTGGTGTAATTGTCACCTCTTATTTTTGAATTTACTTTTGTTCAGGGTAGGGATTTTTCCTGAAGATGTGACTATAATTTTGGCAGGTTTTTTTGTCTTTGCTTCTGGGTGCATATGTTAGCAAAATTTCTCTATAATTTCTCTGGCTATAAACAGTATTAGTGATGTCAGTGATCTCCTCAGTTTGTTAGGGTTGGTTTGGTGGAGGCTATGGTAAAGTGGGGCTGATGTCTGGGCCCATCTTCAGGTTTCAGTCATAGAAGTGGTGGCCTCGCATGACTGTCCTTGTGCCTTGTGGTGGTATATGCAAGCAATGGTGTTAGATGTGCTAGGCAGGCTGATTCCTGGACCTTTGGATGACTTTCTTGGGTGCCAAGCTTAGTAGCAATGCACTGGGAAAATAAGTGAGCTCTTGAGCTCCTGGGCAGCTGGCATAGCATGGGTGAAGGCTATTGCAGTGGTGATGAAATGCTGGCAACGAGCTCTGTGGGCCAGCCTCCAGGCCAGTAGTGGTGTTTGGATGTGGGAGCCCATTGAGGTGTTGGCAATAGGTTGTTTATGCTCAATTTTAGTCCCCCAGGAGGAGTACTCAGTTGTCCCAGGTGGTGGATTGTGTTGTGGAACCCCTAGTGCCCTGGATCCCATACTCTGTCTCAGTGGGGGATGAAGCTGGGTGGAACTGGACCAGGAAAGCTCATGCTCAGGCCCCCAAAGGCAAGTGCCTGCATCAGCCATGACAGGTGGGGATGGCTCAATTGTTCAGGCCCTGGTAGACTGCTTGGCTGAGGGGTTAGCACCACTGTACTGAGATCCTTCCATGGTGAGAGTGGAGAAGGTTTCAGCAGCCACAACCTCTGCTGGTAGGCAGGGGACAGTGTCTTTATCACACCCCAGACCTGGTGGGGCTCACTCTACTATCCCAGCTATCACAGACAACCTGGAGGTTCCATGAGACCTGCAAGTTTGCACCAAGTTTGCAACTCTGTCCTGAGCTATAGGAGCTACTACCCAGCTCAAGACTAAGTCTTCCTTGCAAATCTCATCCTGCTCAAGTCCTGGGGGCAATGCCTGGTTCCACTGCCAGTGGCCACAGCTCACACCATGCTTGCTTCTCAATACTTGTTGCAGAATCCCTCTGCCATGGTTTCACAAGCAGTAGCCTCAGTTTCCCTGTGCCTAGGACTGGCACTGCTTGTTCCCAAGACCATGCACAATTTGTTAGGAGTGAGGACTAAGTACAGTGTCTTACTATGACCACTTACATTCAAGAAGGGTGTGAAACACAAGGTATGTTCTTCCTGGAGCAGGGTTTGGGAGGGTCATGATGCTCTCTTGAGTCCTGGATTGTCCCAGGGGATAAGTGAACCACAGACAAACACTTATTCACTCTCTCCTGCATTGAGAGTCATTCCTACTTTCCGGCTGGTCCCAGTCACACAGGCTGCTTATTGTTTGCCTCCTTCCTAATTTTGAGAGTTTTCTGTCACTTTGCTGTTGAACTCTCATGTTCCTTCTTGGACAATATATTAAAAGTGTGATTGTCTACACATTATTTTGCTTCTTCTAAGTGGATGAGGTGTGCTTGAAATACTCCTAGTTGGCCATTTTGAAAAAAAAAAAAAAGAAATGTCATTTCATACTCACTAAGATGCCTATAATCAACAATGGAAAATATCAAGTATTGCAAGAATTTGGAGAAATTAGCATCTTCAGACAATTGTAGTAGGAATGCAAAATGATACAGCCACTTCTGAAATCAGTTTAGCAGCTCCTCAAAAAGCTGGAAATCATTACTAGATAACCCAGTAATTCCATACTTAAATATTTATCCAACAGAAATGAACACATTTTCACACCAAAACTTGTACACAGATGTTCATAGAAGTACTATTTATAATAGTCAAGTGTGGAAGTAACCCAAAAGTTCATCAGCTGATGAATGGATAGACAGTATCTGCTATAGCTGTATAAAGGACTACGATTCAGCCATAAAAAGAATCAGGTGTGAATATATGATGAAGGTGAACCTTAAAAGCATATTGTTAAGTGAAAGAAGCCAGAACTAAAGGCCAGATAGATACTGTATGTTAACATTTACGCTAAATGTCCTGAATAAGAAAATCCGTAGAGACAGAAAGTAGGGTGTTGGTTCCCAGGAACCCGGTGAAAGGAAATGAGGAATGGCCCATTCAATATGAAATGGGGATAATGGATATAGGGTTTTCTTTGGAGGGTGATGAAAATATTCTGAAATCAGATAGCAGTGATATTTGCACAAACTTTTGAAAATACTATAAAACTCTGAATGTCACACTTTAAAAGGATAAATTTTATGACATGTTGATTATATCACAGCTGTTAACACATTGCACAGGAGGTTTGAAAGGGCCAAAATAAAGATTACAGGAGAAGTATAATCAAACAAGCATTTTTATTTCTACTATCTATTGAAACTCTCAAAAACGATAAAAAAGTTTTAGTTAAAAACTCAGTAGGTTGATATCATGGTATGTGAATTATATCTCAAGGAAACAGTTTTCAAAGGTATAAACATGTCAAAATTAAGAGAACAGAAGAAATAATATTGGATGAGTTTTGTCAACAAATTTTTGAAGGTTGGAAATCTGGAAAATGACTGGCAACTAAGTCAACAGAACAAAGAAATTTGAAGTCTAAAGGTTTGCAGAAGGGAATGCTAAGATAAATATGCTGATTCATGCCACAGATCATAGGAAATGATTTGTTAAAATGAAAACATTCCAGTTATCTAAAAGGCATTGATGAACTGTGACACTGAATGTAGGATAATTTGTTAGCTGTCAGTATAAAGGACCAGTTAGAGTTTTAAGTAGCTGTCCATACCCTAGTAGAGACCAGCATTTATTCTCTGGAGAAATTGAACTGAGAAGCTCTAGACATAAGTCAGTGAAGAGAGTGAGTGAGAATGAGGCACTATGCCAAAAACAGGGAGATAAAGAAACATTCTACATAATGAAAGGTGACAACCTCCTGCCTATCCCTAATTTTCTGCTCAGCTACCAGATTGCTAGAAGGCTTGCTAACCATCCTCAGGCAAACAATTAAAGGATTTCTCCTTGGAAAACCTTCTAGAATAAGAAAGAATGCCTCCTGGTACTTACATTTAGGTATCCCTTGTGATGATTAATTTTATGTATTAACCTGGCTGGGCCTCCATGCCCAGATATTTTGTTAAACATTATTCTGGATGTTTCTGTGAGGGTGTTTTACATGGACTAACATTTAAATCTGTGGACTTTGAGTAGAGCAGATTGCTTTCCATGTTATCGGTAGGGGCCTCATCCAATTAGTTGAAGGCCCCTCAAAGGACAAAAGACTGACCTCCCCCAAATAAGAAAGAATTCTACCAGCAAGATGATCTTCAGATTTGAACTGCAGCAGAGGCTCTTTCCTTGGTCTGCAGCCTACCAGTCCATCTTGCAGATTTTAGACTTGCCAGCCTCCATAATCACATAAGCCAACTCCTTAAAAATAAATCTCTTTCTTTCTCGCTCTGTTCCCCTCTCTCCTCTCTTTTTCTCTTTTCTTCCCCCTTCTCTTTCTCTCTCTTTCTTTCTCTCTCTCTCTCCATTGGTTATCTATCTCTGGAGAACCACACTTAATATACCCTCAAAAAAAAGTCCAGGTCATTATCCTAACTCTTCTGATAAAATTCATCAGCCGACAAGTCCCATACATGAACATAACATTTCAATCATCTTTATAATGATTTAGGCTAAGAAAATAAATATGTGAGGAAAATCTAAGAGATCAAATCAAATAGATCACAGAAGATTTCAGAAGAGAAAATGATAATGCAAAAAATTTTAGAAATTAGAATATTCTCATAGCAATGAGAGAAGATGCTTTACTAATTATAAAAGAAGAAAAGCAATAAAAAAGAGAGAACAATAAAAATTTTCTTAAAATAAAAACTATTATAATAACTAAAACATTTAAAACTATTGTTGAGAAAATGTTCCAAAAAATAAGTCAAAAGGAATAATGGGAATAAGATCGAATAAAATGACAGAATAAACAGATTTTCAGGCATGCTAGTTCTTGAAATATTAACCTCATGGGTACCACACTAATTATCATGAAGGCATTGAAAACTGTATTCCATTAAAACAACATATCAGGAAGATAACATAGAATCCAATAAAGAGAGGATCCAACACAGGAATCAAGCAAGGAGACATCCCAGGATGTGAATGGCAGGCAAAGACAGAGAAGAGATGTGTCCTTGAGCTAGAAAACAATCAGTCCAGGTAAGACCAGAAGAACATAGTCTCCCCACAAGGGGAATAAAAGCCAAACTTTTAAAATGGAATCAATAGATTACTTCATTAGAAGAGTATTAGAGTCCCATTGGAGAATTTGGGAGAATATGAGATACATTCACAGAAAATTTAGCACATATTTAGCATATAATTAGAAGTGTAGAAGAACACAGATATAAAACTAAGAAAATATGAGTAGAAGAATATGGATATAAAACCCATAAAATATTAATTTAAATATTAACCTTTAAAAATATAAAACTAATCAAGTAAAATATTAAATCAATTAAAAAACAAACCAACAATCCAATGAAACCCAGTAGGTAAATGATATGAAGAGATGATCTATAGAAATATAAACCCAAGGGGCTAATGTGCATGAGAAAAACCTCACTGGAAACTAGAGAAATTATAATTCGAGAAATCGAAAGTAAAGTAAAAGTCAGCCGTCATTTCAGCACCATAGGAAATGGGTAAAGATATAAAAGTCTTGCAATACCAAGTATTGTAAATGATGTAGGCCAAGGGGATAGTTTTATGTTGGGTCCAAGAGTATAAATTTGTCCAGCTGCTTTGGAGAACAATTAGGCATATGTAGTAAGGCTGAAACTTCTTTAATCCAGGATTGAAGTACTGAAGAAACTGTTGGGAGTTTGTCTTGCAGACATCCGTTGACATTTACTAGTCATAGCAATATGAGGCATTGTTTCTAGATACGTGTGAATTTGTTGAAAGTATAGAAACAGGCTTGGCATGATAAACATCAAATTCAGAATTAAAGTTAATTGAGAAGCGAAAGAAGGAAATGGAATTTTGCTGAGGATAGGGTACATTAACTGAATCTATGAGTGCTCTGAAGCTAAAGTAGCAATCTAAGTAAGTTTTTTGTTTTTTTTTTAAATGGGTCGCTATATGATTGTGTATGATATTAGGTTAGTGCAAAAGTAATTGTGGTTTTTGTCATTACTTTTCTGCATGCTAGAAGTATTTCTAAATTAAGAAAAAAATGGGTAGGTAGGTCATGAAAAAATTGATATTTGTATCAAACCAGTATGAAGTGTGCAGAGACAGAAAGAATGTGATGAGCCAGTAGACTGAAGAGGGCAAACAAACCCATGAGATACTCTGTAGATGGATGACAATGCAGATGACATTTCAGACCAACAGGAAGAACACAGTGTAGGAAACAACAGGAAATGGCTCCCAGGTCACAAGTGTTGGAGTGAACCTTAGGAGGATGCTAACTAGTTTTCTCCCAGCGACGCCTGTAATGAATATCAGTGAATCAGAGACCAGAGCTCATCCTCTGGCTCTGCCATTCACTGGGGAGTTTAGTAAGAAAATCAGTGTATCACCCCACCATAGTTTTCTTCTCTGTAAAAGACAGGTCAGCGCTAAGAAACTTCAATGCTATTACATTTGCATGAGGAGATTTGTGGCTTCCACCTTTAGAATGCACAAGATGACTCTTGGTTTCTAATTGCATTCTTTTATTCCTAAAATTATAATGGCAAATTATCTGACCCCTCACAAGCTATTACACTGTTTTTCCTTTCCCGTATCTCCCCATCAGCACTTTCTAGCCTTGTTCTCTTGAAATGTTATGGTCTCTATTGGTTTTCAACACTTCCTTTAATTCTTAGTTTTCTCAGGCTAAACCAAATTCAGTTTTTTCTACCCTTTTCTTAAATGTTTGTTCCAGGGCATTTCATTCATTAACAGGAGAACAATTTCCAGAAATGTTTTGGAAACAAGTGTATGAAATATGATCAAAGTGCAATGCTATTAATAATCACACCTGAGCTTGACATGTTCTCCCATTCATATTAAAAAGAGAATCTATATGTATTTATGCTGTATTTGTATAAGGTAATTCCCATTTCAAAGGCAAAATAAAAACTAGGAAAGTAAATATCTTGATAACTTATTTGATTTAAAAAAAGAAACTTATTAAATCACTACATAACTTCAACAACAGCAGAAGAAATATCTTTTACAACTAAAGCCTAGATCACACTCAGACCATTTGAACTGGGAAAGCTGACTTAGGTAATGTGACCTAGAATCTTGACAAACAGATATTTGTCCTAAACAAAGATTTATTTTAATAATTGCTTCACATTTAATATTTGCTAAGTTAACTGTAGTATTCCAGTACTGCTCCTGTATATGAGTATTTATATATGAAATTAATATGAAATTTATGATATATATTAATTAAAATATTAATTATATATGAAATTAATATGAAATTTGATATATGTTAATTTCATATATAAATACTCATATATAGGAGCAGTACTGGAGTAGTATATATATGAAATCTATATACTATATATAAGTATATAGTATATAGACTATATACTACATACATAGTATATATATGAAATCTATATATTATTCATACCTATTCATATATTTCATATAATAATATATATAGAATATTAATTTAATTGTGTTGAATCTGGATATGCATATACGTCAAATTTTCTTAGAGTTTAATGTGGTATTGTCACATCTTCAGAGTGTTGTATACCTTGGAATTCAAGAGTAAAGAAGCAATGAGGAAAGGTAAACTAATAGGCACCTTCTTTGAAAGGATGAATGATGCCTTTGAATAGAGGCAAAACTCCAATGAAATAAAAATAAGCAAAAGTATAAAATGCCATATAAATACGTAAAAGGAAAATAAATCTGGGACCCCAAAATCAGTAAACCAAGAGGAAAGTCAAGCAGGGAGCTATGTCAGGTAAACCTGCCTCCCATTTTATCCCTAAATAAGATAGCTACAAAGATAAAAAAAAGCTACAGACCTCCTTCACAATTTGCCCTCAAGGAAATTCCTTGAGGGCCTGAAGATCTTTACCCTAAGCCAGTTCTGTTGAATTTCGCCCGCAATGTAAACTGATAGCTTATCTTTACAGGTGCAGGACAGAAAGTTATTTCTCTGCTCACCTGAGACAAATGCATATCTAATTGCTTCCTCTACCCTATTGTTTATGTAGAAATGCAGATTCACTGAGCTAGACTAAATTGAGTATTCAGTGAAAGGCTGATCAGGACTCAAAAGAATCCAACCTTTTGTCCCTCCTTTCTGGACCTAACCAATGTACACATTACATATATTCCTTTATGTCTCATGTTTCCCTAAAATGTGTAAAAGCAAGCTGTACCCCGATCACATTGGAGACATGTCATCAGAACCTCCTGAGGCTGTGTCATTGGGAAGATAAACTTTCTAAATTGATTGAGACTGATCTTAGATATTTGGGGTTCACAATTATAAGAATTTGTTTTTATGCTGCTTTGGTGATGGGGGTAAAATTAATGAGTTTAATATAAAATTATAATCCTTCAGATTGTATAATTCCTCTGTGATCAATTTCATCTTCCTTCCAAACAAAGCACCTTGATGTAAAAACTGTGAATTGTTAGGTAAAGGAAGACAGAAGCACAAGTGTAATTTGGATGTAAAATAAACAAAGCAGTGAATTTGCCAAGCAAAGAAACGCAGAAATGCCCTACAGTAGAATTTCAGACTAACCCAGCTTCAAGGGATAATGACCCTTGAGCAACCCTTAACAGGAAGTCACAAAGTCAGATTGTGAAATCCAGAGAGCTCAGAGGAATTCTAGAATTGGCAGCCAATTGGATGGCCTCGTACCTGCCCTGGTTATATTCTAAGAGCTCTGATTCTTTAGATGAAAGAAAGAACCAGAAATCTCTGGACTGTGACAATCCTTCAAGTAAAGTGAGTAACAATGGGGGTTTGTTTCAGAACAGAGCCCACCCTGAGCCGAGGGCTACAAAGGGAAAGTTGGAAAAGAATATACAGAATATCAGAGTGTCAGCCATGTTATTCACAGGGATACTATTTAAGACAGTAGCCATTAGCTATAGGTGGCTATTTAAATTTAAATGCCTTAAAAATAAATAAAATTAAAGATGCAGTCCCTTGGTTGCACTTACCACATTTAAGTGCCCTGTGGCTGACACAGTAGACAGTACAGACACGGGGTATTTCAATTGTCTGGGCAGTCTTGCCACTCAAAGTGTGGCCTACGAATCAGCAGCATTGGCTTCACATAGACATTTTAAGAAATGCAGAAACTTAGGCCCCATTGCATCTTAATGTAAACTGTGTGCACCTTAAAGTGTAAGGAGTACTGGCCTAAGGCTCATTCCAGAACTCCAGTCATTGAAAGATAAACCAAATGCAAATCAGAAAGCTGAGACAAAAAGCTGACTCAATAGATTGTACAAGAACTGTCTATGAGCCCACTCCCCTGGGTTCATCCAAATGACTTTAGATTCCTGGCTTATGGTTGTATAACTATTTTCAAACACTTTTTGTAGAGCTAAGATAATGACTATTCTGCTTTGCTCCAGGTTGTCTAGGTAACATTTATGTGTAGCATATATACAAACAAACAAATAACATTTATCAAGCACTTACTATTTGTCTGACACTAAATTGTGCAGTTAATAGGCATTTTTAAAATGATTTCACGTAAGTGATTTTCAAACAAGTTCCTTTAGAATCAGTTTTTACTGATGATATAATTGATCCTCAACAAGGACAAAAATCATGCCCAAGAACACATGGTTAATAAATGGTAGAACTACTTTTGTACAAAAGTAGCTCTATGTTTTTATTTTATTTTTTCAATCCACAGAGTTAGAAGATGTGTTATTATTTTTGTTCAGGGCCTAGACTTCCTAGCCATAATTATTACTGTAGTAGAAATTAAACAAAAGATTTAAGATTCATTACTAAGAGAATCTGAATGAGAAAGATTTTGTGCCTGGACTCAGCACTGGTGAAAAACTTCCTCAAAATTTTAGTCTTCCAAAGAGGCTCTAATTGGCGTTAGCAGAGATTCTGCCCTTGAAGTGACTCTCAGTTTTCATCTCTGTGAATTTAGAAATCTGAATTTCGATTACTTTCTTACTTAACGAAGGTTTACCTGTCTTCCTTGCTGCAAAAGCAGCAAATAAAGCTGGTGTTTTGTAGGTGATTTTTTTCATTTTTAAGCAAACAATAAAAGCAACTGTTCTCTTGGTGGAAATTTTTTTTTAAAAAAAATACAAGCTATAGAGAAAAAAGGAAATGTAATGAAGATTAGCCATGAAATTCTCATTAAGCATAGAATAATTCCATTTATATTTCTGTTACAGGAAAGGGGTCCTGATCCAGACCCCAAGAGAAGGTTCTTGGATCTTGCTCAAGAAAGAATTCAGGACAAGTCAGCAGTGCAAAGTGAAAGCAAGTTTATTAAGAAAGTAAAGGAGTAAGAGAATGGCCACTCCATAGAGAGAGCAGCCCTGAGGGCTGCTGGTTGCCCATTTTTTTTGGTTATTTTTGATGATATGCTAAAATAAGGGGTGGATTATTCATGCCTCTGCCTCCCTGTTTTAGACCATATAGGGTAACTTCCCAACATTGCCATGGCATTTGTGCTCTGTGATGGTGCTGGTGGGAGTATAGTAGTGAGGACAATCAAAGGTCACTCTTGTCGCCATTTTGGTTTTGGTGGGTTTTGGCAGGCTCCTTACTGAAACCTGTTTTATCAGCAAAGTCTTTATGATCTGTATTTTGTGCTGACCTCCTATCTCATCCTGTGACTTAGAATGCCTTAACCATCTAGGAATGCAGCCCGGTAGGTCTCAGCCTCATTTTACCCAGATCCTATTTAAGATGGAGTTGCTCTGATTCGCACACCTCTGACAGCTCTTCGCCCTCAACTATTTATATATTTTTTCAGTTTAATCTATCTTAAACTTTTGAATGTTTATTTCATACATTCTAAGTTGGTTTATATTTTATAATGTATTCTAAATATCTACTTAATACTTTAAATGTAAATGCATGATTTTTAACAAAATATTTTAATAGATGTTAGTGCACAATATTTTTATATTTTATGATATAAACAACTTCAGAAATTATCATCTGTCCATTTGTTCATGGATTTGAACAAGTGACTCAGATAATTAAGTATTTTTAGCCTAAGGAGCAGAAGTTTTAATGACTTTCATGTGGATAAATTTTTTGCAGCAGCAGGATGTAGATCTAGGGTGAGTGAATGATTAAACAACACTGGTGACAAATTCTAAAGCAATAATTTCTATTTATTTATTTTCTTTTTTTTGAGACAGAGTATTGCTCTGTTGCCCAGGCTGGAATGCAGTTGTGCGATCTCAGTTCACTGCAACCTCTGCCTCCTGGGTTCAAGCGATTCTCCTGCCTCAGCCTCCTGAGTAGCTGGGACTACAGGCGAATGCCACCACACCCAGCTAATTTTTTTGTATTTTTAGTAGAGATGGGGTTTCACCATGTTAACCAGGGTGATCTTGATCTCCTGACTTTGTGATCTGCCCGCCTGGGCCTCCCATAGTGCTGGGATTACAGGGCTGAGCCACCGCGCCCAGCCTAAAGCAATAATTTCTAATAATATACTCTTTAAAAAAGTTAATCTCAAAACAATAAGTTAAAAACAAATGAGAAATTCAGATGCTGGATTGTAGGTGAGCTGGTCACCTCCTGGGAGAACTCATTCATTCCTTATTCAGAGCAAAATGTTCTAGGTTGATCAAGGGAGAACTGACATTCTGAAAGCTATGCCAAGGGCAGGGGTTTTAGGGGTGAAGATCAAAGCAGCGCTGAGTGTTCTTCCTTTTAGCAGTTTGTGTTTCTTTCCTCTCCAGCTGCAGCTATGATAAGGTAGACTAAAGATTACTTCTCCTTGTGGGTGCTCTTAAACTTAGAAGGTAAACCAATAGGCACAGTTTAGCCTGTTGTAAGGTACAAGTTCAAAATACCAAAACCTATTTTCTTTCTAGGCGATAACAATAAAAAAACAAAAGTGGAAATTTTGAAAAGTAATATTGAAAGAACTCAGGGTTAAATCTGCCAAAAGGGATGCAATGCCTATATAGTGGAAACCACATGACATTGCTAAGATGAATTAAAGACCTACATAAAGGACAGGTGTATTCATGGCCAAAGGATTTAATAATTTTAACATGACGAATGTTCCATAGATTCTACATAACTCAATCAAAATCTTAGTAGGCATTTTTTGGAAAATTTAAGAAGCTCATTCTAAAATTCATGTGGACTTACAATAATCCTATATTACCAAGACAATGTGGCATTTGTATTGAAAGAGATTAATAAAGTAAGTCCAGAAATGAACCCCACATATATATCAATAATTTTTTGGACAAGGGTCAAAGGCAACTCAGTGGAGGAAAAACAATGTTTTCAGGTAATGTTGCTGGAAATCTTGGATCCATACATACACACACACACACAATTTAATAACTTCAATTTATACCGAGCAACATACACAAAAAAAACTCAAAATAGATCACAAAGCTAAGTATAAAACCTAAAATTACAAAACTTCTAAAAGAAAACAAGTAAAAATCTACATAATCTTGGGTTATGCAAAGAATTCTTAGATATAACACCAAAACTACAAACTATAAAAGTACAAATTGATAAACTGGATGAAATCAAAATTAAACAAATTTGCTCTTTGAATGATACTGCTAAGGAAATAAAAAGCAAAGTCACAGATAGTGAGAACATTTCTGTAATTCATATATCTGATAAGGAACTTTTGTATCCAGAACATATAAAGAAGTCCTAAAATTCAGAAGGAAGAAAACAACTCAAATTTTTAAATGGTCAAAATATTTGAACAGATACATTATCCAAGAAGTATAATCATGGCAACTAAGCACATGAAAAGATGCTTATCATTATTTGTCAGTAGAAAAATACAAATAAAAATCACAGTGAGATAATACCGAGACAGCCAAGTAAAAATAGGTCCCTGGAGAACCTCTGACCGGCCTGGGCACTGGGAGGAATGGGCACTAGGTGGAGCCTCGGGAAGTTCGCGCAGATTGCACAGGGGCGGAACCTGGCCTGTCTTCTTCCGGGATGGAACGAGGAATTCAATCTACAAGGCCGGAAGCATATATACTAGCAGAACTTTTGCTCTTCTGAGAGTCCCTCTTTTCCTTCTTTTTTCCTTTTTACCCAATAAATTCCATTTTTCTCACCCTTCAAATGGTCTGCGAGCCTGATTTTTCGTGGTTGTGTGACAAGGACGCCTTCTTTAGCTGAATGAAGGAAAAGTCCTACAACACTATGTCACATCTATTTGAATAGCTAAAATTAAAAGGACTGGTCCTATCAGTATTCATTAGGATGTAGAGAAGCTAGAAATCTCATACAGTGCTCATGGGAATATGAAAAGGTGCAACCAATTTGGAAAATAGTTTGAAAGTTTCTTAAAAAGTTATATATGTAGCTATCATAAAACACAATCATTCCTGGACATTTATCCAAGAAAAATGAAAGCACGTGTCCATTTAAAGGTGTTTACATGAGTGCTCAAGCAGCTTTTTTGGTAATAATCCAAGCTGGAAACAGCCCAAATGTCTGTCAACAAGTGAATGGATAACAAATTGTGGTATATAGACAAGATGGAATACTATTAAGGAATAAAAAGGATAAATTCTTATTGATACATGCAACACCATGGATAAATTTTAAAATGGTGAGTTGAATGAAAGACACACAAAAAAATCATAAGATTCAATGTATTTAACAATCTAGGAAATGCAAACTACACTGTAGTTGCAGAAAGTCCATCAGTGATTGTGAGAAGTTGGGGTGGTGAGAAAGGTGAGATAGAAGGATTATCAACGGACATGAGAAAACTTTCGGGGGTGATTATTGTGTTATTATGTTATACTGAGTGTTCTGATGGTAATACTGGTGCATTTACATGTCAAAATTCACATTGTACATTTTAATATGTTCAGCCTATTATATAACAATTATACTTTAATAAAGTTATTTAAGCAAAAGATCACTTTGAATGATTGGGTAGCTGTAGAGAATAGGCTACTTAGAATCAATGAATTTAAAGATGAAATTCCATATAGGTCAATTAGTCCAAATCTTTATATGACACTTGAATTTTCTCTACAATATCAATAATCACCAGGCTGAACACCACAGAATTGAGAGACTTACTGTCTTCCAAGGCAACTCCTAACAACTTTGAGAGCTGTTAGATTTTGTTTTTTAATACTTGATTGTAAGGAGTCAAAATAATGGCCTCTGTGGTAGTCACACATGGATCCTTAACTAACTCTTTAGCATTTCAGGGCTTTCTTAAAAATATGCAACATATTTTAAGTTTAACCCTTCAAATATTTGGGGGAAAAAAATCAAGGTTCCATGAATTTTTCTTTTATAGGATAAAAAGCTCTAGGTACTCTATTCAGTAAATATTTATTGACCACCTACTATGTTCCAAACTCTATTTATGGTACTGAGAACAGAGTGGAGACAGGAGAAGATGTCATCTCTGACCTCATAAAAGGGAAGAGAAATGTTATGCAATTCATAACAAAATTTGATGCCATTTAGCATAGTATAGGGGCATGGCACAAACTACAAGATCATGTTACAATGTTTATAATCTAATTTAGTCATCAAGGAAGGCCATCTACACAATGTTAAGCTTCAGTTGAAACTTACAAATAAGTAAAAAGTTATTCATACAAAGATGGGTTTGAAGTGTGTTCCAGCCAGACTGGATACCATGTGTGTCTTATAAAGGAGCCAAAAATGGCCTGATGTGTTTCTTCTTCCCTACAGGATGGGACCCATTTGTTCACAATCTCACCAGCACCAAACTTAAATTTTACACATCCAGGTGTTTAAGCATAACCCAATTAAGCAGATTTTTAAAGCCATTTGGAGTCTATATGCTTTGCAAGTTTCATGAAACTATACCCAACATCTCCTAGCTATAGATAAGATAAACCCTGTAGCCATTAAAAAAAGAAAAGAAACGAAAAAAAAAAAAAACCATGCAAGCTACTGCTGCCCTTCTCAGCTCTCTGATCCAGGGACTCATTCTCTGTGCTGAGAAACATTACCGTTCTGAGTTGTGGCGTTCCTTCTCACTTTCCTCACTATGTCCTCTAGATGGTTTCATGCTGTTAGGGACTGTCTAGGCAAAGAGACAGCTTCTCCTTCACCTTCTGAAGGCTCATGGAAAATCATTGACAAAGGCAGATTTATTGGAGAGAAGGCACATAAATTTATTTGTTCACAGTTTTATGTGGTATGGGAGCCTAGAGAATGAAGACTCTACTATGTAGAGGAAAGTGTTCATTTTTATGCTTCAGTTCAACAAAATATGGACTGCCGTGTAGAAATAGGACTGGACAAAGAAGGAATGGTCTAATGCTAGCAGAGTGAGTGGGGAAGCCCAGCAAGGCCTGTCAGCTTCGGTTCTTCTTGGCCTCTCTGAGCAGCATTCCTGCATTATATGTATGGGGCAGGACCCCCTCTGGAATGGGGGTCTTACAACCCACAGTCAAACCAGGTGGGTCAAATAATTTCTTTATGGCCAGATTTTAGAAAGGAAGGTGAGAGGAAAGTTAGAGTAATATTTTTAGGTTTTATGTCTGGCTTGGGGGAATAGAGGTTCTGGTTTCTATGACCTGCTTTGGGGAAGAGAGATGCCAGTTTTTGTGTCTCGCCTTGGGAAAAAATAGCGAGCTACAGACAGGAGGGCAGGAGAAGGTCAGAGAGACTGCTTCTGAGGCCTTCATTTTGGAGTACTGTTTCTGATACCCTACAGGACTTCCCCTATATGCACACCTGTCAAAGCAGCAACCTAAATAAAGCTCATTGTGCACTATTGCTACCTAAGCATCCTTTTATTTTCCATGATCAGCCCCAAAATTCGTTTAACTCACCACAGACCAAAAGTGCAAATGTGAAAGAAAAAGAAGTGCTGAGCAACTTAAATGAATTTTTAAAATAATATATTATATGAAATAGGTTTTAGTTCTTAAAATATCCTATACTCTCATTTGGACACATTGATTTTAAAGAAAGAGTTCCTTGACTGAAAGTAGTATACACTTCCAATTAAACAGGATTGACACTTTCTATTCTTTAGATACTATTATTTACTCCTTGGTGCAAATTTGATTACCCATGTGATTGTTAACTTCTCATGCTAAAAAGTCATTGGATTTGCTGTTATCTAAGATTCCTGTCTCTTAACACATGCTCCTATTGTCATATTTCTACTGTTCTATATTTGTGTGATTTTTGCTAAACAAAAGTGTGAAGACTGTTTTTTTCTCTCTCTCCACATATATATATATACTCAAAAAACTTGTAAGCATTTATCACTAATTAAATATTTACATTAATATCTTCATATATTTATTTATTAATTGTATTGTCCATTTACCACATTATTCTGGTATCCTGGCCAGGTTAATTCCAACCTTAACCCTTTATGATTTAATAATTGTGATTTATTATTTTTCTCTACATGTCTAAAATTTAATAATCAGTATATACTGACATTATTATATATTTACTAACATTATTCAAAAAAGGAAAAATTAAAATGTTTTCTTTTATATTAGTTCCTTAAGATAAAGTTCTTATGAACATACAACGCAGGTGTTCAACAAATGTCAAAAGTAAATTTCATAACCTACTTCTTTAAGCAACACACTTAGTGGCCCAGAACAATATATTATGAATGTTATACCTCACTGCATTGCTTCCAAAATGTATGTCAGTTACAGATATAGGCCTTCTCATATTGCATGTTCTTCCCATTTATAAGTAAATAACAGTGCCCATGCAATGTATCTGTCCTAGTAAAATGTGGAAGTTCAAATATATTTTTTCTAAATAATCACCTGAAATTACTAATTGTTGATTATATTCTCTAAAGAGTTGATTAATTAATTTATTAAATCATCATGAGGTTCATTAAGCCAGAGCCGTGACAGAGAATTAAATAAAGAAGTAGCTATGTGCAAACATTTTTTTAAACATTGCAACTATTTTCTCAGTTGCGTTTCATCCATATCCTCTGTCTGTCAGGCTGGTTTAAATCTGGGTAAGTTGGTGGCACTTTAATATGCAAAGAAGTTCTGTGTTTTCACAGCAGATCACCCACTAGAACTAGAGTTAAACTTTATTTAAATTTCTCATTAGATAATTTGAAAGTGACAAAGAAAGAGGGGCTGTGGAGTGACAGGTATGAGAAAATAAAAGACATTTACAATAAGGTACAACAATAACGCTATTTCTTTTTGAGTGTTTACTATACACCAAGCATAAACAAGCTTCATGTTAATTCTCATAGTAACTTAGTGAAGACACTACTATTATCATCATTTTAGATGAGGTCAATGTCAGATCACAAGCACCTGATAGTATTGTACTCAAACCCAAGTTTCTCAACACCAAAGTTCATATGCTCAAAATAGACCTCATACTACTCTCATGTAATAAGTCAAGTGGTTAATGATGTCATTACCAAATAAGGAGCCTTCTAGATGGGCAAAGAAATTGAACAAAATCTGCAAATGTAACATGAAATACTGCAAAAAATATTATAAGCTACACACTGAAGGTATTAATACAAGTTAGAGTTTTATATTTTTAGACAAAGTTAATTGGATTTCCACTTCCCATTAGGATGCAGGAGTACATAAAAGAACTTCTGTTCCATGGTGGTAGCAAGACAAAAATACAGTAAAATTTATTATCTTTATAAAGCTATGAAGAGCAGTGGACATAGAGGTGTCTTGAGCACAATTCCAAAGAGAGATAATCCCTTCCTGGGTGATCAAAGTGCCACTGCCACACTGGGGTCAAGGACTTAGTGTGGCAATAAGTGGGTAATAGACTGGTCCTTCTATAGGCAGAGAGCCTTACAGAGACATTGTGAAACCAGCCAATGTTATAATGACACATTGGAAGACAGAAAATTACCAAATAGTCAATATTTCAGCCTGACAATCCTCCCACTGCCCTTTTGAGATGATTGCTGAGTAAAGGCAACTGAACTGAGTGAAAAGCAGAAAGTCATGAAGCGAAACTACCTACATTTGCAATTCAAACCCCTCCCAGCTTGAGTCCTGAAAAGAGCAAAGAAATTGGCTGCAGAGAAAAGAGCGACTGCCTAAATCCAATATGAAACCACAGGTGAACACAATCAATTCATGGTTCCAGGCACACAAACACAAGTAAAACTCTTCATGGAATCTGAAAACTCATTCCTTAAGAGTACTTGCCCCCACAGAGAGGAATGGGCTTGAACTCTCTTACGAAAAATCACACAAAACAAGAACAATAAAATACATTATAGTTCAATCTGTACTCTTTTTAATGTAAATAAATGCTCAACATTTAATTAATTTTTAAAAATGATATACAAGACATCAGGGAATGTTACCTTGATTAAATGGAAAAAATAGTTGACAGAAACAGAGCAACAGATAACCCAGATTTGGGAATTAGCAGGAAGAAGTTTAAAAGGACTATAATAAGTATATTAAATAATTATGAAGTAAAGCAATGAAACAAAAGAAATAAATTAGGAGAAGAGATGGTGAAATACAGAATAGAAAACAAACTACATAAATGAAATAAAAAATCTAAAAAGTAAAAATACAACATATAAAATGTAAAATGTATTCAAAATTAGAAACTTAAAGCAGTCTAAAACATTCTTCCCCTCCTGTCCTTTGTGAACATTTTGAGCACAGTTTGGACACAGCAGAAAGAGTTGATGACTCTTAAACAGATGGATAGAAATTATCCAAATTGAAGTACAGTGACATATATATACACATATAGATGTATATATTTATATATAATATATATTTATGTATTTATATATAAACATATCTAAAATATATATTTATATATATAAAATATATACATATAGATGTATAAAATATATACATATAGATGTATAAAATATATACATCTATGTTTATATATGTATATGAAAAGACAATGAATGCTAGTAGACAATGAGACTTTCAGTGTGTGAAAAGGGAAAAAAGTCCCTGCAATTCTTTCTTCAATATTCAGCAAAATTATCTTTCAAAAATAAAGAAATCTTTAGATACTTCAAAGCTGAGAGAATTTATTGGTTCCCAAACCACCCAAAAAATATGCTGAAGGAAGCACTTTTAATGAATGAAGAAATCCCAAAGTATCTTTAAAGAAAAAACAACTAGAAATGTCAGGAGCACAACGCCAATCTACAAAATTTAACTGTATTTCTACAGAATAGCAACACATAGTTGGAAAATGAAATTTTAAAAGTGTACTATAGTATCAAATACATAAAACACTCAGAATAAATTTATTGAAAGATACGCAAGAACTTGGCAATTAAATATAAAAATCAATGTAAGAGAGGTTAAAGTTGATGTAAGTAAATGAAGAGATATGCCATGTTCATGAATTGGAATCAATATTATTAAAATGTTAATTCTCAAATTAAAGTATTGATTCAATGCTATCTAGATGAAAAGCACTGCTTCTTTGTAGAAACTGCAAGTTCCTTCTATAATATATATGGAATTGAAAAGGATCTGGCATAGCCAAAACAATCCAGAAAAACAAATTTCAGTATTTGGTTTCAAGGCAATATATTGTATTATAAGAGACACTTATTTCCTAATTGCAAGGCTTACAATAAAATTACATTAATTTTGACAACATGATTTTGACAAGAAGTTAGGTAAATACATCAATGGAACAAAATAGGGAGTCCTATGAATTAATGCAATTCAGAAAAAAAGTCTGAAATAAATGGTGTTAGTACAATGAAACAATGGACCTTTTACACTGTTCAAAAATTAACTGCAAATGGACTATAGACCTGAACATAAAAATTAAGCTATAAAGCTACCAAAAGCATAAATAAGGAAATATTTTCTCATCTTAGGGTAGACACATATTTTGTAGACATGGCAATAAAAAGTACTAAATATAAAAGAAAGAAACAGTAAATTGAAATCATGCTCATCAAAAGACACCAATTAAGAAGGGAAACAAAAAGATACAACTGGGAAGAAAATGATTACACTTCATTTATCTAACAAAAGACATATTCAATTACATAAAGAATTCCTACAGTTCTGCCTGGGCAACATAGTGAGATTCTGTTTCTACCAAAAAAAATTCTTTTTTAAATTATCCAGGCATGATGGTGTGAGTGTGTAGTTCCAGCTACTTGGGAGGCTGAGGTGGGTAGATTGCTTGACCCAAGCAGTCCAAGACTGCAGTGATATATGATCATGCCAGGAAGCTCCAGCATGGGTGACAGAGCAAGACCTTGTCTTTAAAAGACAAAACACACACATACAATTTAATAATATAGGACAAATTATCTAATAAAAATTGGCAGAAGACATGAACAGACAATTTCCAAAAGAAGATAGATGGATGGCTAATAAGCACGGATACTCCTTGACTTATGATGGGGCTTCCTTCCAATAAACCCATCATAAGTTGAAAATATTGTAAGTCAAAAATGCATTTAATACATCTAACCTGCTGAACAGCATTGCTTAGCCTGGCCTTCCTTAAATGTGCTCAGAACGCTTATTTTAGCCTAAAGTTAGACAAAATCATCTGTCAACACAGTTCATGAGGTTGCTTAGCCTCATGAACTGTGGCTCACTGCCTCTGCTCAGCATCCCAAGAGTTTCCTACCACATGTCACTAGCCCAGAAAAATATCAAACTTCAGAATTCAAAGTACGGTTTCCACTGAAAGTATATCACTTTTGCGGTTTCTACTGAAAGTGTATCATTTTTGCTCCATTATAAAGTCAAAGAATCATAAGCTACACCATCCTAAGTAAGGGATCGTCTGTAAATGAAAAGGTGCTGAATATCATCAGGAAAACTTAAATCCACAATGGCATCCCACTGCACATCCACTGGAATGAAAACAAGTAAAAAGCCAGGCAAGGCGCGATGGCTCACACCTGTAATCCCAGCATTTTGGGAGGCCGAGGCGGGCAGATCATCTGAGGTCGGGAGTTCAAGACCAGCCTGACCAACATGGAGAAACCCCGTCTCTACTAAAAATACAAAATTAGCTGGGCATGGTGGTGCATGCCTGTAATCCCAGCTACTTGGTAGGCTGAAACAGGAGAATCACTTGAACCCAGGAGGCAGAGGTTGCGGTGAACTGAAATCGCACAATTGCACTCCAGCCTAGGAAACAAGAGTGAAACTCCATCTCAAAAAAAAAAAAAAAAAAAAAAAAAGCCAGACAAACTTTTTTATTAAAAAAGTTTAATAAAGATAGGAGTCAATGAGAATCCTCACATATGTCTAGAGGGAGTGCAAAATAGTATCAACACTTCAGAAAACTGATAGGCAATTTTATATAAACTTAAATATATACTGGATCTTACCAGTTCCTCTTCTAGGTATAAACATGAAAGATAAGAAAGCATGTGATCACTCAAAAAGACAAATACAAAAATGTTAATAGCAGAAAATATCCATCACCAAAAGAATGGAGAGTCAATATAGTTTTATACATTGCTGAGTAGAATATTCTACTCAGAAATGCAAAAGAATAAAGAATTTATGTTTACAAAGCATGGATAAATCTTAAAAACATTATGTTGGAAAAAATAATGCAAAACAAAAGCATATACTGTATCATTCTGCTTATATGGAAGTCAATGAAAAGCAGAATTAAACTATCATGCTAGAAATCAAAGTAGCGTTTACTCCAGGGGGAGTTTGAGCATTGACTGGAATGAGGCACAAATATTATTTCTGGGGTGATAGAACTATTCTGTTTTTTGATTAAGGTTTTAGTTACATGGGTATATACATTTGTTAACATTCAACAAACTGTACTGTTAAGATTTACGTACTACACTTTAAATAAATTACACCTCAATTTAAAAATGTCTAAAGGGTACTTGAATGAGGGAAAAATGAAAGACATGCAGATCCCAAAAAGCAAGAGTGTCTCCTTAGAAAATATCCAGGATTAGTCAAATCTTGTTTTTTATTGTGTCTATTCCAGCCTTCTTCTTTAAAATGAATTTGGAAAATATAAACAGTAGGTTAACAGATTATGGGAAGCTTTTTTATTTTTAAGGAAGAATACAAAGGTATTCTTATATTTTGCCTTACTGTAAAACTCCCCAAACTCTACATTTGTGATAACTAAGCTTTCCTTTTAGGTTCAGGATCCATTACACTTCCTGAGTAGTGGAAATTTTGGTTCTTCAAGGATCTCAGTGTCAACATTTTTCAATATCTGACCCTGGTTTACACTGATGTTTATATTTTGCTTATTTGTCTATGGAGCAGTATGATTCATCCCTTATCTTGTACCCTCAGTTGCTAAAAGATTACCCAATTTATAAGTGACTCAACTGATATTCCCTGCCTGGTCCTCAAATTTCATCAGGACTGAAATTCTTTCTCCACAGATCACTCAAAAACTGCTTATTAGAAGTTTACTATGTGCCAGACACTATATGGTAAGCACTGAATGTATTGCAGAGATGAAGGAACAAACACTTTCTAATTCTTCTGGGAATTAGAATTGTGCCTTTGAATACAGTGAGTGAATATCTGTTTGAGTACTTTATTATGCATTAGACACATGAAAAAATGCAGTATGTCCTAATGGAAAGAAAATTGTAAAATCAAAATTAACATTTATTTAAATATCTCTTTAATGAAATATTGTTGCCTATAGCTGTCAACTTAACATTCACAAAAACCTAATTAAATCTGTCAGGATTTTGTCATTTAAACTTTTACATAACAAAAATTCCCAGGCTTATGGTATAATTACAGATAGCATATAGCCAATTGTATATTAAAGATATTCATTCAAACATATTTTTGAAATCATAGAGATACTCTTTTAAAACTTGGATAGAAAATAGTTTAATACAGAATCCAGATGTCTTTTAATATGTCTGATATCATATATTCATTGGGGTAGGTGAGGCTGAACAACAAGTGTACTCAGAAATATAATGGATCAGCAAACTGAAAGTTTTTAATGTTCACCTATTTAATACCTATGGGAGTTCCAGGTAGGTGGACACTGGGGCTGGTGGAGCAGCTGAGTCTATGTTCTGCTTTATTTCCTAGAGTCGAGCAGGAAAACTAACGTAAGTCATGCTTGTGGGTATTCCTTGTGGCATATATTGCTTTGGCCCACCTTATTTCATCTACAGCTCAGTTATACAGTCTCTCATAGGTTAAGACGTGGAGACTAGCAATAAAAAGGAGTGTGGCAAACAGCTAATCCATCTCTTGGTCTGGGAGTGCCCTAGAGAAAATGAAAGTTATAAGATCACTGCTTGTTACCACTGCTTTTTATTTTACTTTATTTTTATTTTATTTTATTTTACTTTTTGAGACAGGGTCTCACTCTGTCACCCCAGGCTGGAGTGCAGTGGTTTGATCTTGGTTCACTGCAGCCTCCATCTCCCGGGTTCAAGTGATTCTCCTGCCTCAGCCACCCAAGTAGCTGGGATTACAGGCGTGTGCCACTATGCCAAGCTAATTTTTTTATTTTGAGTAGAGACAGGGTTTCACCATGTTACCCAGGCTGGTCTCGAACTCCTGAGCTCAAACAAACCACCTGCCTCGGCCTTTCAAAGTGCTGGGATTACAGGTGTGAGCCACCATGCCCGGCCACCACTGCTTTTTAAATCATAAATTCGCTTATTATCTGCTACCTGAAACAGACAGAATTTTTCACAAACCTGTCAAAATTGGTTCCAATAAAATTTTACTTTAACTGAATGGCTACGATGAAAACTTCTTTTATAACATAGATTTTTTTCAGACCCTTTTTAAAACGAAAAGTACCTGATCGTTTTGTTCTCTTTGTTGAAAAAGAATGAAAAAAGTAAATTTATTCTAAATCTTTTCTTTATACTATAAGTGATAATAATTTGAGTATCCCCACAACACTTTATGAACCAGATTAATCCACTAAAATCACATGTGTATAAAATATATAAGACGGCATTTTATACATATTTTTCCTCCTTAGACTCTAGCACAGGGTCCTATGACCATATCAGGAATTCCCAGGTGTTAGTTAAGTTAGAATTGCTTTGACCGAAAAAGAGCAAGCTGTGTGGTATCTTCAAGAATTTTGTGTAATAGAATTGCTTAGAAATCTTGTTGGTCATTCAGTGCCCATTTTCCAGGAAGATCAGATGTTACTTTTACTACCTGATCCCTTTATTGCTTGTTGTTTATCATATACTAGGCACGGTACTTGGTAATTTGAGGATTAAAGAGGTTTTCAAGACACTATTCCTTGTCCTCAAGGAGTTCACTGAGGAAACAAGGAAGAATGCTGTGATTACGACAGTGAATTAATATTAGGACAAGCCAAGGATTTCTCCTTGTACTAGTGATAAGAACTTTTCTATTTTGTTTTATTTATTTATTTATTTAGAGACAGAGTCTCGCTCTGTCGCCAAGGCTGGAGTGCAGTGGCATGATCTCAGCTCACTGCAAGCTCTGCCTCCCCGGGTTCACGTCATTCTCCTGCCTCAGCCTCCTGAGTAGCTGGGACTACAGGCGCCTGCCACCATGCCTGGGTAATTTTTTTTTTTTTTTTTTTTTTTGTATTTTTAGTAGACACGGGGTTTCACCGTGTTAGCCAGGATGGTCTTGATTTCCTGACCTTGTGATCAGCCTGCCTCGGCCTCCCAAAGTGCTGGGATTACAGGCGTGAGCCACCGCGCCCGGCCCATAAGAACAGTTTTTAAAGAAGACTACAAACCACTTCTCTTTGGAATTTTACTCATTTCCTTCTCTGGAAGCCGTGTGATAAAGCCAGGTGACTTGTGAATATCTTCTTTAGCATCTTGACTTTAAGTATAGCAGTATGCTGTCTGAATTATTTTAAAAAAATATATTCCTACAACTCTGCTAGGTTTTAATATTATAATGGTTAGACTTACAATCGCCTTCACCTCAATTAGTCCTTTAACTTTAAACATATTAGGCCAAGCATATCTCATAAAGTTATCACAAGAGACTAAAGTAAAGGAGCAGTAGTTCATAGGAATGCATTTAAAATTATTTCATATTTCTTAAAGTGCTGATAGTTTTCAGTAAAGGAGAAATAAAATCCACTCAAAAAAGTGGCCTTTCTTCATCCTTAGTAATATTCCATTAGCAATAAGATACTTGTGTGTGCGCATATGTGTATGTCTGTGTTTGTATGTGTACAACATCTCGACAGCTTAGTCATTTTATGAATCTCCTTAGAAGCCTACTGTTTGCTCTGTTTGTTGACAGTAGGTGTTAATACGGATCCAGATATCTCTAGTCTAACCACAGATGCAACTGAGACCTCAGAGCATATACTGGATTATAGGTGGCTACAAATTCTTAGTCATTCTCCCTATAAAGGGATGTAGTCTAGTTTCCTTTCCCCTGAATCTGGACTCAGCCTGTGACTCACTTGATTGGTAAAAAGCAGAACTAAGTAACATTGCACGATTCCCAAAGCTAGGTCATATGAAGTGTTACACCTTCTGCCTACCTCTTTTGGAGTGCCTGCTGTAGGCACTCTCCTTCTGAGAACTCAGTTGTCATTGTGAGACTCCCATGCCACGAGGACAGCCCTGTGTAGATATCCAGTCAATAGCCATAGCTGAGCTCTCAACCAGGAACTGGCATCAAATTCCACCCATGTGACTGAGCCATTTTTGGCATGCAATCAGTCATGCCTTCTGCTGACTGCAGCTTCCTCTACTACATGACAGACCTCAGGTGAGAACCATTCAGCTGGGCCCAGTAGTCCACAAAGCTGTAAGAGAGAATAACGGAAGCCACTAAGTTCTATGATGGCTTATTACACAGAAATAGATAATCCCAAGCCAGTGAACTCAGAAGCCCATCGTTCAGTTTAATTCTGTTATCTTTTCAACCTCAGAATAACTGTGATCAAAGCTACATCACTCACACTTCAAACAGGCTTCATCTTGCTCTGGAGAACTCATCTTGGTATAATTTTATGTGACTGGGGATAGAAAGACTCAAATGATCTTTGATTGACTTCATTTAAGTTTTGATTCTGCTTTATAAAGTAGATTTGCATGAGGGTACTTGCAAGTTTGGAACCACCTTTCATTAAAAAAAAGAAAAACTGAAAATACTTTATTATTAATGGATAGTTTATACTTAACAGGTAAAATCGAGAGTTTGCTATAAGTTTTCTCTAAATGTACCCTAGATGTAAACAGGGCCAACACTTTCCCCAAGGTCTAGACAATATTGGTCCAAATTCACATTTATTGATTAATGAAAAATCCAATGCCTTCCATAAAATTTCTGTGAAGTAACTAGGTTGGAAGAGGGTTCACCTGATGTTCTTAGGGCGACCTCTGGTTTTGAGATCTTGCTTCTGAATTTAATGAATTTCAGAATCTTACTGACATCCAATTCGTACAGTTCTTATTCCAAGTTCTATAGACCTAGATAAGCACACTGTAATTCTTTAATTTCCTCCAATAAATTGTAAATAGATTTCACTGTGGGTTCAGGGAATACATAGACACATATTAAAAGTCAACTCAACAATAGATATGCAGGTTCCTTAAAAACAATCAAAGAACCATAAGGCAGCTCTCAATCATTCCACAAAAGTGGCATTTGTCACTTGTGCTCATATTCTGTTAGCAAAACCAAGTGACATGGTCAACCTTCATGTCAGCTGGACAGAAATGGATTCTCCTCCTCAAAGGAGGTATTGCAAAGCTCATATGGCAATGGGAGAGGGCAAAAATCCTCTTACAGTTAGTGGATTCATTATGTGAAGAACATTCTAGAAGAGGGACTAGCAATTAGAATGCATTTGAGGCAATAATATGCTTGATACATTTTGGAGACATCATCAGGACAGGTTTGTCTGTAACAAAGTGAAGAAGAAGAAGAATGAAAGAAAATGAGGATCATAGAAGTAGTCAGGATTGTGTAGGTTGTGGTTAAGACTTAAAATTGTATTTTAAATGGGATGAAAAGCCAGAGAGGGATTTGAAAGGAATGGTATGATATGATTTACATTTTAAAAGAATGATGCTGCCTTTTAAGAGGGGAATTAATTCTGCTCATGGCAATGGAAACAGGGAACCCAATCAAGAGGCTTTTTCAGTAGTTCAGGTAAGAAAGGAATGCAACATTGATGTTGGAGAGGTGATGTAGCAGAAAAGGTAGTGAGAAATAGTTGGATTATGGACATCTTTTAATGGAAAAGCTGAAAAGTTTTTGGTGACTTTGATGGCATAAGGAGGAGGAAATAAGGGGACATTTACTGAAAATCTCTCATGGAATAGCAGATTTGGAGACAGGCATATCTCAAATATGTTAAAATTGAGATGGCTATTTGACATCCAATAAGACATATACGGTATGTAGCAGGACATATGAGTTTAAACTCAAGAGAGGGACCTGGAAGATACTAAATTTGGGTGAACGAGCAAATGAATGGTAGATAAAATCATGAGACCAAAATACAGGGTCAGTATAGACAAGAAGAGAAGTTTAACGTCTGATTCCTCAGGCACTGTCATATACAGAGGTCAAGGAGGATAGAAAGAAACAGCCAGTTTAAGAGAAACCAGGGTAATGGTTTTCCTGGAAGAAAATGTCTCAAGAAAGACAATGTTTTGTGTGCTATTTATAGACCAAGTAAGATGGAGGCTCTGAGTTGTATATTATATTTAGAACTGTGCGACCAGGATGAAAGTGCTAGGTATTTCAATGAAGTGATGGGAATGAAAATTGTACTGGAGGAAGTTAAGAAAAACTGGGAGATAAAAACGCATAAGCACAGCCAGGTCATTTTTAAAGAGCTGTCTTTAAAAGGGAAGAAACTAGATGAGTATATAAAGTCAGGAGTTAGTTTTTTCATTTTGTTTTGTTCTTATTCTGAGGATGTCACAACAGGTCTACATTTACTCATCACTGGCTCATTTATTTGCATGTTAAAGTAAATACACACACACATACACGAACACACACAATCAACATAGCACATCTTTGTAGTAGTGAGATGTTCTTTGCCTTAGCCCATCCCATCTGTTCAACTTCTCACCTCGTTCATTCTGTGTTTAAGCAGCACACGAATTTTCCCTTTTGTTTCATTTGTCTCCTCTTGACAATGAATCAGCAAATTACTCACAACTGGAAAGGCTTCCATGCTGAAACCATAACAAAGAAAGCAACTCCAATTCTTTTCATCTACTGAAGCCCTCAAGCTTGAGTATCTGAAACTTACAAAGTACTTTCTAATAATTATTTCATACCAGAGCGTACGCAGTGAGGTTGGCAGCATACACAGGAGGAGAGAGTGGAGAGCTAACAAGACAGACAAGGTCTCGCAAGAGAAGACAGTGAAAAGCAGTGGTTCATATGTGTTGACTTTCTTGTTGTTATTATCAATTACTTGTGCTTTGGCCCTTTTTGGTTCAGCCTTACTACAAGTTATCAGTTTTTTTAATATTTTCAAAAAATCATTTTTTCATTTTGTAAATTGGGTATTATTTATTTTTGTGTGTCATCATTCTCTACTCTTCACTGTATTCTATTGTCTAATTACTTTTACTTTAATTCATTATTTTGTTTTCAAATTTCTGGTGGAAATTTAATTATTGACTTTACAAAGTATATCGCCATCCACCATCCCCAGCTTTCTCCCAAATAACATCAAGAACTCACAATGTTACATTTCTAATTACCCAACTGCCCCATTTCTTGTTATTCTAAGTTTCATATTAACTACTTAAGTCTTGCTTATTAATTCTCCAAAATATTTAATATTACCTTTGTTTTCTTAAGTCAATGGTAATTTTATTTTTAACTATTTTATTTTTTAACTAAACTCACTTTTATTTATTTACATATCTAATTTATTTATTTTTGAGACAGAGTCTTGCTCTGTTACCCAAGCTGGAGTACAGTGGTGCAATCACAGCTCTCTATAGCCTTGACCTCCCTAGGCTCAGGTGATTATCCCATCTCAGCCTCCTGAGTAGCTAGGAATACATGCATGCACCACCACACCCAGCAAATTTTTTTTTGTAGAGATGAGTTTTTGCCGTGTTGTCCAGACTTTGTCTCAAACTCCTGAGCTCAAGCGATCTGCCCGCATCAGCCTCTCATAGTGCTGGGATTACAGGCAAGAGCCACCATGCCTGTCCACAATTTTTTTTTTCTTTATTCTACTTCAAAATTCTGAAGTTAAGTTTCTTTCTTCTTCCTGAAGTATAATAACAACATAGTACTTTTGTTGGTGACCACCTAGAATTGGAATGATCTCTACATATCATGTGCAATGTCTTTATTTCCACTGCACACAGTGAACATGGAACTGTAGTTTTGTTTTATACATAAATTGAGCTATTTTCCCTTAGCACTTAGTAACATGGCTGTGCTGGGAAGTCTAGTTTCAACCTAGCCATTGTTCCTAGCAGGGAATATGGCTTTTCTCTCTACCTGTCTTTTTCTTCTTCTTGCCATTCTACAGTTTCACAACGCTGTGTTGCCAGGTAGATTTATTTTTATCCTAATATTTTATGTAAGTAGTAATGTATTTAATCAGCTCCTTAAAAATTATTTGTACCCTAATGTGTCCGGAATTGGTCGGTTCTTGGTCTCGCTGACTTCCAGACTGAAGCTGCGGACCCTCGCGGTAAGTGTTACAGTTCTTAGATAAGGTGTGTCTGGAGTTCGTTCCTTCAGATGTGTCCAGAGTTTCTTCCTTTGGGTGGGTTCGTGGTCTCGCTCACTTCACAAGTGAAGCTGCAGACCTTCGAGGTGAGTGTTACAGCTCTTAAAGGTGGCAGGTCTGGAGCTGTTCATTCCTTCCAGTGGGTTCGTGGTCTTGCTGGCCTCAGGAGTGAAACTGCAGAACTTCCCAATGAGTGTTACAGCTCATAAAAGTGGCACAGACCCGAAGAGTAGGCAATAGGAAGATTCACTGTGAAGAGCCAAAGAACAAAGCTTCCACAGTGCAGAAGCAGACCACACCACGTTGCCATGGCTGGCTCTGATGGCCTGCTTTTATTCCCTTATCAGGCCCCACCCACATCCTGCTGATTGGTCCATTTTACAGAGAGCTGATTGGTCCGTTTTACAGAGAACTTATTGGTCCATTTTGACAGAGTGCAGACTGGTGCATTTACAATCCTTTAGACACAGAGTGCTGATTGGTGTGTTTAAAATCCTTTAGCTAGACACAAAAGTTCTCCAAGTCCCCACCAGATTAGCTAGACACAGAGCGCTGATTGGTGCGTTTAGAAACCTTTAGCTAGACACAGAGTGCTGATTGGTGCGTTTACAACATTTAGCTAGACATAGAGTGCTGATTGGTGCATTTACAAACCTTTAGCTAGACAGAAAAGTTCTCCAAGTCCCCACCATCCCAGAAGCCCAGCAGGCTTCACCTCTCACTGGCACTTGCCCTCGGACTTTGCAGCTCCTAGCTGGGGCACTCTGGCAGCCCAGAGGGAGCTCGTCCCAGACAACCAAGAGGAAAAGAGGGGGAGCGAGAAAGAGACAGAGACCCACCATCGTGGCCAATGACCCTGCGAAGAGGGAAAGGCAGTCCACGAACGGGACCCAGCCTCTGATCAAGCCCAGCAGGTGCCATCCGACCGTGCCCAGTGTGGTGCCCACCGAGCCTGCACCCACCCGGAACCCAGGCTGGCCTGTGAGTGCCATGTGCATGCCTCGCTCCCGCCAGTGCCTCTCCCTCCACACCTCCCCCCAAGCAGAGGGAGCCGGCTCCAGCCTTGGCCAGCCCCAGAGAGGGGCCCTCGTAGCATAGCAGCTGGCTGAAGGGCTCCTCGAGTGTGGCCAGAGTGGATGCCGAGGCCGAGGAGGCACCGAGAGCGAGCAAGGGCTGCTAGCACGTTGTCACCTCTCATTACTTATTAGCCGTTATTATTATTATTACTATTTATTATTATTATTTGAGATGGAGTCTTGCTGTGTCACCCAGGCTGGAGTGCAGTGGCGCAATCTCAGGTCACTGCAACCTCTGCCTCCTGGGTTCACACAGTTCTCCTGCCTCAGCCTCCCGAGTAGCTGGGACTACAGGCACCCGCCACCGTGCCCAGTTAATTTTGTTTTTGTATTTTCTAGTAGAGATGGGGTTTCACCATGTTAGCCAGGATGGTCTCAATCTCCTGACCTTGTGATCTGCCCGACTTGGCCTCCCAAAGTGCTGGGATTACAGACGTGAGCCACCGCGCCTGGCCACCATTATCTTTATTCACTCTTCCTCAAACTATTAGGTGTATGTTGACTATTTTCATTCTCTATTCTTCCTACTTTTTGTCTCCGTGTAGCATCTTTGTAATGTCTATATCTTTACCTCTTTTGGTTGAATTCTGGGTAATTTTCTAAAATCTAAAGTTTAACAATTCCCTCTTCAAATAGATATATATATATATACACACACACACACTCATATACATATATATAATATGAGTGTGTGTGTGTACATGCACATGCAAATGCATTCACTACTATATGTTTGGAAGTTCTAGTTCTATTTCAAACCATGGTATGCTTTGCTTATAAGGTCAAATGGGGTTTATGTTCCTTTACTGAAATTTTCATTGCCTTATATATTTACACATGTTAAACATAATTATTGCATTTTTTTTGTTTTTGTTTTTTGATTCTTCATCCATGTTGAGGTTCTTATGATCAAATCCTCCTCTGTGGTATTGGTTCGGCTTGCTTACATTCATGGAAGACTTTTTTTCTTATGCTCTCTGCATGTTTATTATTACTTTATCTGCAGCAGGTCTTGTTTCTGAAATGAGAGAATTCCCTGACCCTCTTCTGGGACTTGCGACTGGTTGTGGCCCATTTGCTCCAGGAGGGGAGCATGCAGATGGGCAGCTGTAGGAGTTGACGTGGGCGCTTTTGGGCTCCAGCTCCACAGTAGCATCTAGGAGTGTGTTACAATTAATGCTGTTTTAGCAGTTGCTGTCAGAAGATGGCTAAGTGTTAAACCAGCTCAGTGGAGAGTCAGGGTGACAGCCCTTTACACACTGCCCTCTTGGTACTCAGGTCCTTCCCTAGCATCCAGGAAGAATCAGGTCACACTGACTTAAAGGATGGTGAATGTGGGGATTTTATTGAGTGGTGGAGGTGGCTGTCAGCAGGATGGATGGGGAGCTGGAAAGGGGATGGAGTGGGAAGATGATCTTCCCCTGGAGTTCAGCTGTCCTGCGGCCTATCTCCTCTCTCCTCTCTGACCATCCCTGGTCGAACTCCTCTAGACATTCATACACTCCTTCTCTTCTCTCCTTCTCTTCGTCTGGTAAGTGATATACAAAACCCAGAGATGACATTGTAAATAAAGGTAAGGGACTGAATTCTATCTTCCTAAGATCAGGAACAAGGTGAAAATGTCAGTTTTTGCCACTGATGTTCACTATTGTACTGGAAGTTCTAGCCACAGCAATTACTCAAGAAAATAAAATAAATAGCATCCAGACTGGAAAAGAAGTAATACGATATCCTTTGCAGATGCCATAATCTTGTACAGAAACTTCTAAGGAATTAATAGAAAAATATTTAAAACTAATGAGGCCAGGCATGGTGGCTCATGCCTGTAATCCCAGCACTTTGGGAGGCTGAGGTGGGCAAATCACTTGAGGTCAGGAGTTCAAGACCAGCTTGCCCAACATGGTGAAACCCTATCTACACTAAAAATACAAAAATTAGATGGCCGAAGTGGCACATGCCTGTAATCCCAGCTACTCAGGGGGCTGAGGCTTCTCTTCTCTTCTCTGCCGTGTCACTCTGTTGCTCTCCCAGTGGAGCTTGGGATTTATATGGGCATAGGATGGGGTGTGGTGGGCCAGAGTGGTCTTGGAAAAGGCAACATTTGGGCACAAAAACAGGAATGCCTTTCCCCATTTAGGGCCACAGGTTTCAAGGCTTGAGGGTGGGAATTGTCCTTTTCTACCCAGTATTTTCCTGCTTCCTGTCCATATCATTTTCTTTTATGAAAACATCCCAAGTCCTGGCTTTTGAAAGACCCTTCAGACTAGCTTTGTGTTTGCTTCTGCCAGGTACACCAAAGCTCTCACTGGTCCCAAAACAATTTTACACATAATTTTGCTTTTAGAGAATCCATAGTTTGTATAAATTTACTCTAATTCTGTGTGAAAGACAATCACATGAATGCATGATTCTGTTATTCAAAGGACACTTAAAATTTTTTTTGCATGTATTACCCAGGTAGCTTGTTAACCTCCTGGAATAATAGATAGCTTTGTTCTACTGATGGTGCAGGACACATGGTATCTCTGTGAATACAGGAGTTACAGTTACAATTCTTGCCATGCAAGTACTCAAGACCTCGTTTTCCATGGATGCTGATCAGATGACTTCTGTTATGTTCCCTAAGCCTTACATAACCATATCAGCTCACTTCTAATTGTTCTGGTTTTTATTTTCTCTTTATTTCTATCACCTGAGAATTTCCTATTCTTATTATTTTTATTATTTTTGCTGTTGTAACTTACTCAGTGATTCTATGCATCAATTTGCATCTAACACAAGTTTCTCTAACATAATTTTTAAATTAATTTTTGTTGTGTAAGGAAACAATTAGATTGGGGTAAAAATTAGGGGGATAAATGTTATTACTCAATATGAAATAAATGGTTAAACAATTTCTCAAAGTTTCATCCCTTTAGGCAGTTTACATTCAAGGCAATGAGCTTGTTATTTTCTAAGTCCTCTGGCACTTAATATAAAAGTAAAGGCATATGTTCCCAGGTTTTAGCCAAATTTTTATAATGGCCAATTTCATCATATTTCCCCTGTCCTTTTTACTTCCTGGACTTGAAAAAATCCACTACCTTGCTGGCAATATGACAGACGACTGGATTGGCTGCTGGAGCAGCTGTATCCATTATTGAATTAACTCCCCTCAGCAATCAACTTCTTAAAGCTCTCCTGAGAGAATAGAAGCTGTAAAAGTTGACATGTATTTCAATTTAAGACCACAAATATAAAAGACGTTTTTGTTTGAAGCTGCCACTTTGGCCAATAGTAATTTAACAAATTGTTAAGAGAGGGTGTTGTGTTCATGTTTCTGGGCAGCTGTTGGACATCAAAGATGTCATTTTTGAAAATCTTTTCCTCTTCTCTTTGTGCCTATTATATGTAAAAACTGTTTGGTTTATTCTCATATCCCTCTACCATCTTTTCCTAGCAGGGAATATCTTTCAGAGATAATAGGAGCTCCACCTCCAAGAGATGGAGTTATAAGATGTATGTCCGTGTGTGTGTGTGTGTGTGTGTGTCTGTGTGTAGTTCAGATGAATTCAACTGTGTGTGTGTGGAGTTCAGATGAATTCAACTGTATTTGTGTATGTGAGTGTGTGTGTGAGTGTGTGTGTGTGTCAAGATCTTGATATATTAGCCAGAGCAGAGAATTACAAATAAGTAGTAGAGAACTTGCAGGAAGTCCCCATGGGCATTTTGTGTAGTAATCTCAGGTTAAAGGAACACAATTGCTAAAGAAGTATAACAGTTCACATTGAGGTTTTAGACACACTGGTGACTTTTAGCACTCCTTGTGAGTGGCTTATATTGAAAATGGTCATGTATGTGAGCATAGTCAGATGGTAGAATGTTTTCCACTCAAAAAAGAGAAAAATCCACCAGGTGAAATTGAAATTGAGTCTTGAATATTTCGTATTAGGTATGAGGTCTATGTGTTTGTATTTAAATTCCGTAAAAAAAGCACACTAATTACCCAGGAATTATTACTAGTTCCTCAAAGAATGATGAAGGTTAGACTGTTCACTTATAGCTGCAGTTTTTTTACTAGTATAGTACTAGTAAAAACACAAATAATAATAATTATAATCTATTTCATGATAAAGTCACCATGGTAAAGATAAAGTAGTTACAGGTCAGCACAGAGCCTGCTTGACAGTAGCTGATTAATAGTTATGAGTTGCATTAGCAAGTTGGTAGGCAAATAATGAAAAACTTATTGAATGTATAGGTCCCAAATGATGATACAATAGCAGTTTTTATTGTTCAAAATAGGTGCTCAACAAATGTTTGTTGATTAGTTGTATTTCTCTATATAGTGACCTCCCAAGCTACCTTGTGCAATGTTTTCTGTCCCTACATCTGTATCTACAGACAAAGTACTGCACCTACAGAAAAAATTCCCGCCCAAGGTGAAAGTCAGTACCATCTATGGACAAGGAAAAGAAAAGTTCTTAATTTGTTACTTCAGTGGCCGAATCTCAAGTTGGCTTTACTCACAGTCCATTCTAATGTTGTAGCCCATTTCAGTTTGAATAATTTGGTTATCATTCCCCTTGTGACCAACACCTTTGTTTTATTCTATGGTTCCTTTAAACTTGCAAATCAACAGAGAAACTGTCAGCATTATTTCTTCTCTAATGCCAAAACCAAAACATCTGGTTTTGTTGTTGTTGTTGCTTTTGAGACAAAGTTTTCACTCTTGTTGCCTAGGATGGAGTACAGTGGCACGATCTTGGCTTACTGCAACCTCCGCCTTCCATGTTCAAGTGATTCTCCTTCCTCAGCCTCCTGACTAGCTGGGATTACAGGCATGTACCACCACGCCCTGCTAATTTTTTTTTTTTTTATATTTTTAGTAGAGATGGGGTTTCAGCATGTTGGCCACGCTGCTCTTGAACTCCTGACCTCAGGTGATCCACCTGCCTTGGCCCCCAAAGTGCTGGGATTACCAACATGAGCCATCATACCGAGCCCAAAACATCTATTAATAATTACACTGTCTACTATCCTCAGTGAAGGAAACATTAAATATGACTCAATATCTGCCACTGCATGACAAATCTTTAAGGCTATGCTTTTATGATTCAATAAAATAATTGCTTCTAAGGTCAACAGTGAGAGTAACAAGCATTAATAAAATCCATTTCTAATTTTACTGAGTCAACAGTTTCAACACACATCACTCCCAACCCACAATTCTACCGAGCCTAGTCAATAAAAGAAAATAACAGAATGGTGACAAGGTCGTTGAACCTTCGAAACATGCATTGTTCATAGAAAAATTGTTTTTCGGTAGACACAAGGAAGAAAAATTCCGACAGAATCACTCTTGGAGACTGGGTGTGCATACAAGGAAGAGAAAATAAGAGTTCCTTTACTAGGCTGGATTTCTGATATCCAGAGGTCTTTCTGATATGTTCATTTGCTACCTTGAAAAAATAAATAATAATTAGTAAGAGGTGCCATGGTGGAGTTCGCCAAGGAAAGGGGAAACCAGAATTGACATCTTTCATTCCCTTACTGTCATGTTGAGCTCCTGGTTCTCAAGGAGACTACGCACTCTGTATGATAGTTGGGCATTAAAGGTGTGTTGGGGGTGAGGGTGGAGAGGCAACAATAGTCTACATTTTTCAAGGATTACTACAGCACTGGGTAAGTGGGATACAGTTTGCATATGTGATACAGTTTCAAAGGGATGCTGCTTGGATGTATAGCTAGGGGGTTAGATAAAAGAGATGACTGAAAGTAGCAAGAATGGAAAGTATATATGGAATTTGCATATGACTGACCTTAAATGCCATAATGAAACATGTTCAAACAACTAAAAGTTAGTGAACATTGTGGAATTTAGCCAACACGTTATTGAGAAAACTGATACTCAACACGAAATAGGGTTCCATACAGGACAGCTGAGAAGCAGTGATCAAAACAAATGAAACCTTTTCTTGTTTATGCTTCTTCATATTGAAATTCTTCAGTAAATTGATTAAAAGTTAAAATGTATTCACATGCTGAAAGTGATAGAAGTAGGATTTAGAAGTCTTATAGATTTATGTGATTGACTTCATGTTGTGGGTTTAGTTATCAAGAAAACAGGAAGCATAGTATCATTTTATTTTTTTAACTAGATATTATTGCAAACAAATAAGCTTCAGTCTGCTGTAACTGTGTCATTTAATGTACTGAATATTGTCCATATTTTATTAACCAAGGATACATTTCATAATTCTTTCTCCATTTCCTTTCCAAAATACTTGATCTGACTGTAATACTATAAGGCAAAAATATTCCCAGGTGATTAATGGAAAAGAATCTCAGTACTTTATTTTCATTTCTTACTGTTTTTTTCACCTTGGATTTAAGTGGTGATTTTAATAACTTTTTTTTTTTTTGCTTTTGAATCATAGAAAGGATTTAGCTAGGACTTCATATATTATTGTAAAATATCCAAAAGCCAGATAAAGAACAAGTTGGCAATTCTTTATATATTTACTGAACAAGTATTTATTCACAAGTATAAATACAATGCACTCGATCCTGTGGGACCTTCAAAGAATGACAAGAGGTTATACCCCTCATGCTTCATAACAAATTACCACCAACTTAGCCACTTAAACCAGTACACATGAATTATCTTACAGTTTTCATGGGATAGGAGTGCAGATAAGAGTTAGCTGGTTTCTCTGTTCAAGGTCTCAACCAGGTTTAAATCAAGGTGGGGCTGAGCTGTGTTCTTACCTGGGACTTAAGAGTCCTCTTCCAAATCACTGATTGTTGACAGGATTCAGTTCCCTCAAGCTGGAGAGCTGTGTTTCCTGTTTTCTTGCTGGCTGTTGGCCAGGGATCATCAACTTCAACTCCTAGAAGCCAGCCTCAGGTCCTAACCACATTTTCTCCTCCTCTTGCAAAATGGCAGCTTAGGTTTTCAAGGACAGTAAGAGAATACCTTTCATTTCGAATCTCTCTCTCTATCCAGTCTGCTAAGACAGTTTTGAATTACTTAAGAAGGAATTGGCTGTCCCATCATGTTCAAATGTCTCACCCATGTTGAAGGAGAGGGAATAATACAGAGTGTGCACATCAGGGGCCAGGAATCTTAGGGGTTATATTTTTCTGCCTACTGTACCCGCTCACTAAAATCTTTTCTAGCGAAAAGGGAGAATGTTTTCACAAACAGCTATGATACCAAATCTAATCCCACTATTATTATATACTCCCAACATTTTCAAAAAAAAAAATCTGAGTATTAGGACTAAATACTTAGAATGTATTAAAATATATACTAAATGTAAGATAGTAAGTTTTGTTTAAAGTTGAGGCTCATGTTTATAATTCGTTGCCTTTTTCTTCAACAGAACATTTAAAATCTCCTGTATATTTCATGGAATTGCAAATATGATGCATGTATTTTGGCAAATGGCTTCTCTCATTTGACATACTATGCACGTTATCCATAGTATTCTAATCTATCAATTACTATACCTATAATGCTGCATAGAAAGTTCTTAGAAGGAATTGTCATAATATTGACTTTTCTGAAATGTTAAACAGAAATTTCCCCCTCAAAACTACCATTATCAATAATACAATGAATGATAATATATATAACATATATCACATATATGCATCATACATGTATAAGATACCGTGTCATCTTAAAATGTAAGTATTTGTTTAGATAAATTCTCAGCACAGGTTAAATGACATAAACAATTTATGGCTGTTTAGATGCATTTCCAAATTGCCTTATCAACGTACTGCATCAATTAGAGACGCACTAGTTGTGCACAGTTAAGAGAATTGATCAATTCCTGGTGTCATTTAATTTTTAAAAAATATTCTTTGCTAAAACTTAATTTTTAAAAATTTATTAAATGTCTACATACTATGCATTAAAAAGGATCTAGGAATTCATCTATGTCAATGTTGTAATTCAACAGATGAATAACCTTACTTGTCAGGAGGTTCAATGTGACTGTTTAAGGTCATAAATCTAACAGTTGTCAGACAAAGGCTAGAAAAACAGCTCTCACATCCAGCCCATTTCCTTTGCATTGCGGAAGTACTTCTCCAGACTTTGGTGGCCCTCGGATAATTTTGTGGGGAGTCTTCTTAAAAACACAAAAGTAAGAGGCCCACTCCTACGAAACCAATCTATTTTTATTCTGCAGAAGCACGCATTTGATTTTGATGCAAACTATTTGGAGGGCCACTGCTCTCAGCAATCTGCTAATAAACGTATTATAAAGAGACAGAATTACCAAAAAAGGTAAGAGAGAGAGAAAAAAAATTGACACCAAAGTTTGTAGGCTGCCCTGAGTTTAACCTTAGGATTAATTTAAAATTTTATTTTATTTTTCCTAATGAGTCTGAGACAGACAGACTTAATTTATTTATTGGTCGTCCTTGTTTTTAAATACATGAAGAAAATGTAGAGTATTATTATAAAAGTAACACACGTTAGTTATAAAAACTTTCAACACTATAAAAGGATATAAAATGAAAAGAAAAAAAATTCCCTTCCCTATCACTCCAGTGATACTCTACAGAGAGATGCTCTGTGAATAGTCTATCTTTTATTTTTCAGGTATTTTTATCTCAATATTTAAGCATAACTCTGAGTGAATTTTTATTATAAATGTCAATATACCGGCTGGGCGTGGTGGCTCACGCCTGTAATCCTAGCACTTACAGAGGCCAAAGTGGATGGATTGCCTGAGCCCAGGAGTTTGAGACCAGCCTGGGCAACATGGTGAAACCGCGTCTCTACTAAAAATACAAAAAATTAGCTGGGCGAGGTGGTGCGTTCCTATAATCCCAGCTACTTGGGAGAGACTGAGGCAGAAGTGCTTGAACTGGCGAGGTGGAGGCTGCAGTGAGCTGAGATTGCTCCACTGCACTCCAGCCTGGGCAATAGAGCAAGACACTGTCTCTAAAATAATAATAATAAATAAATAAACCTCAATATACTAACCTACACATAGACCTATATTTTCCAATGGCTGTGTAAAGCTTCATTATACGAATGCATCAAAAAGTTTAAATCAGTGCCCTTTAGCAACACGCTTAAATATTATTCCTACTTTTTTGCTATTACAAACAATGCTTTGGTGAACACCTCCTTGGACGTTTTCTGTTTTGTCTTTCCATAAATACACGTACAAGTATATCATCATTTTTAAAGATGAATATCTGAAAATGAAAATGCTTATTCATTTAAAATTGCCATTAATGGATGTGCCAGTTTCCAATATAGTAGAGCATGAAAGTGCTCTTCTCCTTCATCTTTACCAATATGGAATATGATCAATCTCTCCAATATTTATCATTAAGGTAGATAAAATATATTAAGAGGTAACATATATGCCGTGCTTACTGTGTGCAAAATTTCTGATGAATTTTTATGAACACTAACTTATTTAATCCTCAAAACAACCCAATGAGTTATTCTCTCCATTTTGCAGGTGAGGAAACTGAACTACAGAAAGGTTAAGCGAATGGTATGAGATCACAAGACCAGCCAGGTTTTCGAGTTGAGATTTCACACAGATTGTCTGATTGTCTGGGTCCAGAGTCCTTGCTTTTAAAAGCAGCACAATAATTAATTGAAGGTTCTTAAATGTTAGGATATTACTTAATATTTTATACATTTTATAATAGTTCAATAAATGTAAATTTATTCATCAAATTTGGAATTTCTTTCTTTGAAAATTCTGTTTATGTACTTGCCTACCTTTCTATTATTTTTTCAGAGCTATTTCTAACTAAGAAAACTGGAAAGTATGCTCTTCTTGTATTATATCTCTTTTTAGTTTGTTTATTAATTATTTATTTATTTGAGACAAAGTCTTGCTCTGTCGCCCAAGCTGGAGTGCAACGGAGTGATAGATCTTGGCTCACTGCAAACTCTGCCTCCCAGGTTCAAGCGATTCCCCTGCCTCAGCCACCCAGGTAGCTGGGGTTGCAGATGTACCTCCATGCCTGGCTAATTTTTGTATTTTTAGTAGAGACGAGGTTTCGCCATGTTGTCCAGGCTGGTCTCGAACTCTGACCTCGAGTGATCCACTTGCCTCGGCCTCCCAAAGTGCTGGGATTACAGGCATAAACCACCGCTCCTGGCCTCTTTTTAGTTTGTTTAAATTAATTTTCTGCAATACAGTCATTTTAATCTTATTCATGAGTGTTTTCCTCTGGGCTCTGTAAATGGCTTTATGTTACAAAGAGACTCACTTATACTTTATCTTAATATTTTAAAAATAATTTCTAATTTGATTATGACATATACATTAAAACATAGATCTGTGGATTTTCATTTCTATTCAACTTTTGAAAATGATTATATTAAAATGTTATTAAGGCCGGGCTCAGTGGCTCACACCTGCAATCCCAGCACTTTGGAAGGCCGAGGCAAGTGGATCACTTCAGGTTAAAGTTTGAGTCCAGCCTGGCCCACATGGTGAAACCCCGTCTCTACTAAAAATACAAAAATTAGCCAGGCATGGTGGTGCATGCCTCTATTACAGCTACTCGGGAGGCTGAGGCAGGAGAATCGCTTGAACTCAGGAGGCAGAGGTTGCGGTGAGCCGAGATCCCACCATTGCACTCCAACCTGGGCAACAAGAGTGAAACTCTGTCTCAAAAAAAAAAAAAGTTATTAAAATTTCATTGTGGCCAAATATTGGTGCCACTGAAACCCGAAAGACAATTGATGTAAAATTAGTAATATTTCAATATTATATTTAGTATAAATTGATTTAATTTAATTTACTTTTGTAAGGTGTATTATTGAGACAAAAAGGAAGAAAATACACAGAAATCAATATAGCATTTTAGAGCAGTGGAGTTACGGGCTGTCTTCATTTTCTCTTTTATTCTCAACAAACTCTCTCTAATTTTTTGAAATTTCTTTGACTTACCAATTAATTTTGCATTGTAATGTAGGTATGGAAAAAAGAGATTACGTTTTTCCTTAGCTTGCATTAAATGTCATAGAAATTATGTACCTATTCTCTGATACATGAGTCTAATACATGAAATAACTCGTTGTTTCATAAAATGTCTAAAAACATGAGGACTAGTACTATGCAATTTTGCTGTCAGTTTTTTTTTATTTCCTCAAATAGAAATCCTGATTATACAAAGTTTTTAAATAAAATGCCATTTCCTGAGAAGGAAAACATAACTAATTGAGAAATTAAGATCATGTAGCAATGCATGGCACAGTGTGGAATGCAGCAGTTCTGGCTTCCGACAGGAGACCCAAGCAGATGGTGCACAGTGACAGGGACCTCAGCCTTAACATGTGCTGGCCTAGGGGACAAGCAGCAGGCAATGGAACAATTTAAAACAATGGAGGTAAAACAGTGTGACTTTACATGACCACCAACTATCAAGTTCTATTAAAGATCATTTTTTTATTTAAAAAATGGCAATAGCAATAGATTTTGCTATTCTCAAAAGCAGCAGCTCTATTGAAAATGAGGGGAGGCTGTTTTGTTGTTCTGAGAGAATGTTCTTAAAGAATGCGAGGATCTCCAAATATTACGTAGGACGTTGTTGTTTTTATATCTTATACATATATATGTACATAGGCATATGGATATACTTTTAAAGGGTGTATACATGAGTAAAGTCTTTGCCTTTTTCCTTAACTTGCTTTATTTTCTATATTTTTGTATACCCAAATGACTCCCTCCCCATCTATGTAATTCTGTGTGTGTGTGTGTGTGTCTTTCTGAATTTTGGGATTTTTTTTTCCTAAGTGGCCTTATTCAATATCTCCTCTTGTGTGTCATTGAGTCTTAATATTAAATGAGTTATCTGTATCTGTGCTAAGGTAAGAATATAAGTCAGAAAATTTAGTGAAATAAAGTAAAGCAAATATTAATAAAATCACTGCCATTTAATTTTTCCGTTTATGCTTATCTGATCAGGCTGTTAAAAGCAAAAGTTCTTGTCCAATCTGTATAAATTTCTCTATCACTGGAAAGAATAATGAGACTTTGGATTTACCTGTTTTACAAGAAAAACACTTGGAATATAGAAACCAAATCTCCTGGCTTTAAGCTAATGCCATGTCAACCTGATAACAAATGTTCTAGCAGCATAAAGCAACAGCAGTTTATTTGTCCGAGGCAATGAAAAAGGTTGCAAATTTTAAATCCCCCACAAACGTCTTCATTCATTAAAATGTAGCTATTTTGTGTCGTAAGTCTTTTCAGTGCTGTGTGCCTGAGTTCATTTAAGTCAACTTGACATCTGCTTCTGCTTGGAATTAGTCACCAGACTCACTAACTCTAACTGGATTCACTAAAGTAGAAAGTAAGTGGTTCTCTTAGATATGGTGAGATCCTACTCTCCTCCGCTGCCCTATCTACAGGGCACAATTGCCCCCGAGTAAGCGAGTATACCCTTTCCAAAGCCTACCCTCTTGGAAATATGCAAGTCTACAAGTTAACTGAGTAAAATCATAGCTTTCCCATACGTAAGCCAAATCCTGAAACCACATACCATGCCATTTTAAAAGATTTTTTTCTTGTATCCAAATTTTCTGAAAATATTGAGATAAGAAAAAATAAATCAGAATAAACAGCATCCAAATAGCAGACAGCTTCCACAGCATCTAGACTAGACTGGTTAAATAAATCCAGGCACTCCCACATTCTTCACCGGTCTGAAAACTTCACTGTGAAGGAGGTCTCCATTCCAAGAAGCACCATTGTATGCTTTGGCATAAAAGTTTCCTTGCCTGTAACGATTACCTCCATTGTTTGTCAGTCAACATTATTGCTTAACTTCTTTGGAGTTTGGACATTATCACTTCTTTGAGTTGTTTTTAAATGAAGAAGCATAATAATAATGAGTCCCAGGATGCAAACTTACATGAAAGTGAAAGTGATTAAGATGGAGCAAAAGTTTTGAAAAATGGGAGATGTCAAAGGTAAACTAAACTTATTACTTAAGTTTCCTTGACCTGTGCCTATCACTAAAACAGATAATCACCACGCGAGTAGCTAAAAGCACATCTCCCACTGCTGATTTTAATACGGGAGCTCTAGCAAATTGAGATCAGGAGAAAAAATGTTGGAAATCTGGCTTCATTCCTATTGTGAAGATTAGCACCATAATCTTGGTGTTCTCAAAGAATGAAACCTTGTGGTATGATGTAGATCTCAGAGTAACTGAATCTGCTAAGTAACCTTCAAGTCACTTGGAACATGAAGTTCCTTCAAGAAGGCAAGACTGTTAGGAATGTTGATGGAATATGTGTTCACACTGGCTTATTAAAATGTAGACCAGAAACTTCTCAAGTGTTCTTCGTACTCTAGGGATGGGATAAGGCTACATATTAACTTCTGTTTGTTCTCAAACATCTTATAAATAACATAGAAAGCAAGGAAAGCATCCATTATAACTTTCATATGTACAAATCCTAATGGAAACCTGAAACTAATAAAACAAAAAGAGAGTTACAGACTGAAGGGGCATCCTAGCAAGATCCCCAATAACAAGACTGAATGTAGTATCATTGACATTTGTAATGTATCAGTAGAATTCCTGTTGATGATAAAGCCACTAGGAATGGCTTCAACTTGTAGAATATTTGAAGGGTATTCATCCTTACAACTTTGGAAAAAATTAAGAAACCTTTTTTTAGATATTCTGCTGTTCTCTGTTCTTAAACATTTTAAGCCTTGATCTCACTCTTACGTATCAACAGTTCCTTTTATTTTCTTCCAAAAGGCTTACTTGCAAGACCATAAAATTGACAACAGCTTTGCGCAGAAAAGCCTAACTCTTAGCTCGAGATTAATTAAAAAACAAAAACAAAAAATGAAAACACTGACTTTTAAACCTTAATGTCATATACTGCCAAACCAGGAACACTTCCACAGACACACACATACATATGTGTATATATTACAATGTGCCAGGAATATGGTTAATCCTCCAAGCAATTCAGTGAAATACTGTTGCTCTGAGTCTTCTGAGAAACATTTGCCAAGAGAGGATTATACACGCAAGGATTTTGTTAGAGAAAACGCCAGTGAAAAAAAATGATTAAAGAGCAGAAGAAGGCTGGAGAACCAACACACAGAAATGCCAGACTGACTCTGAGTGAAAAAGAGAGTAAAAGAAAGTGGAATGAAAGCATACTCAGTACCTTGTAGTCTAAGGAAAGCCCAGCCTGGCCTTGGGGAGTTCTCCAGCTAAAGCTGGCCATCAGAAAAGTTCCATGTCTTCCAGGACTGAACATACCTAGTATCCTTGCCACACTTGAGGATTTCAAATTCCAGTACCTGGGGCCCTTGGGCAGTCACACTCACTGTATTTGGAGGTCCAACGGGGAGATAACCGCAAGTCACCCTTGTCTCATGCAGATCTACTTTACACGAGTTTGAGGAGCAATTTCTCTATGGATCCAACGGTCCTTTCCTCTTGAAGTGAACACAGAATGTTAGTGAAACAAACTACAGCTCCTGTCATTGTACTTCATGTCAGAGCATCAACTGATCCTCCTCCCTCCCACATTAGCCATTCTTATATCCTCTCACCCTCAGCTATAACTTTGCAGGTCCTGGTGGCTTCCATGTTAGTGTGATCCAAACCTTATATCTGGGAGTATGGAACACCTGATAATCAAAACCTTCTCAGTCCAAATTGCTACAGATTTCAATTCGTAGGTGCAATGTGGCAAGTAAGACTACGAAGCCTCCAAATGAATCTCTTGAGATCCACATATTTCTCCCTGACGTCATTGTGTAATAGTAACCCTACCTCCTTCTCCTGATCAGGCCTATTATCCATGATGGTGAGGCAGTTCATCTTTTCACCTGTTGGTCCTTGAGCAAAAGATGTTCAACGTACCGAGGCCAATCCTAAGTTATAGCTCAATGGGAAGGACTCTTGCTGTGTCCCTTGCAAGTGTTTTCTTTCTTTGAGGGCCATGGCCTCTGTCCCTGGTAGAGCTCAAAGTTGCATATCTGAGTAATACAAGATGTTCCAGTAGGTCATAGGGGATGATGGTGAACGTAGCCATTCCTTCTTCAGTGACTTGGTTCCTGGACCCTGCATCCTTCCTATTGAAGAAGTAGCACTATAGAATACTCTCTGATTAAAAATACAGTGTATTCTATAAGGTTTGATATCTTTTCAACATGTTCCCTCCACACTGGCACTTCAGCTGTGCCTTTAGAAGGCCTTTCCACCATTGTACAGAGCTGGCCATCTCTGGATGGAGGGGTATATGTGATGACAGATGAATCACGTAGTCATAGGCTCAATCCTACAACCCCTTCTCTGGACAAAGCCTATGCAGTATGAGATTCCAAGTCTATAAATCATTCATTCCATTAGTCCCTGGGTAATGGTGATAGCTGATGCTTTACAGGCAGGAAAAGTAAACCCATACCTGAAGTAGGTGTCTATCCCAGTGAGGATAAACTACCAGAACTTTTATGAAAGAAAGTACCTGATGCATTCAACTTCCTATCAAGGAGTTGGGTGGTCTTCTTGAAGAATGGCTTTATCAGGGGATCAGGGTTGGTTTCACTCCTGATGAATCGGACACTCACAAGCAACAATATCTGATATGGTTTGAATTTTTGGCCCTGTCCAAATCTCATGTCGAATTGTAATCCCCAGTGTTGGAGGAGGGGCCTGGTAGGAGGTGATTGGATCATGGGGGTGGACTTCCACCTTGCTGTTCTCATGATAGTGAGTGAATTCGCATGAAATCTGGTTGTTTAAAAGTGTGTGGCACCTCCCCCTTCTCTCTCTTCCTCCTTCTCCAGTCATGTAAGATGTGCCTGCTCCTCCTTCCCCTTCTGCCATGACTGTAAGTTTCCTGAGGCCTCCTCAGCCATGCTTCCTGTACAGCCTGCAGAATTGTGAGTCAATTAAACTTCTTTTCTTTATAAATTACCCCATCTCAGCTAGTTTTATATAGCAATGCAAGAACAGACTAATGCAATATCTAAACCAGCTTTGGAGAATGAGATTCCCCCATGTTAGGTCCATACATAGTCTTCCTCTTGCATGGTCACTCTATTTATGTGATTATATTGTCAGTAATGAGGTGGTCAATGATAAAGCCTTGCTAATGTCATTGGCTAAATTGTTTCTTCCTTTGATTGTTCTGTGTTTTTCTGTGGGGGAATGCTGGTCTGTGATAACATGTGATAGAAAACTCTTTACACTTTGTGTACACTCTCACATGTTCACCTAAGTGCCTCTACCCCATATCTCTTTGTTTCTGATATTAGTGTCTTTTTTCTTTCAGGCCACTGACCACGTGGCCGGGTCATTGACCACTGCTCAGGAATCTGTAGATATTCTCATCTTAGGACATTTACTTTTCATAAAAGGGGATGACCATGGTGCACTGCTCACATCTGTGTCCTTTTCATGGCTTTTCAAGGCCACTCCTGAATATAGCTGGCATGCAGTGCTGTCCATTTTTGGCTTACATCAGTGCTTCAAGCTGGCCCATCCATAACATAAGCTTAATTTTTACCTCCTTTTTCAGCTGGCCACATAGGACCTCCCTCACACATGACCATAAACGTAAGCCAGAGGGGAAGCACTGATGCAACTGTAGTCAGTGATGAGGGATTCTGGGCTAAATATTCATGTCCTCTGTCCCTGCTTAAGCTTGAACCCAGATGCACCATATCCATCTTCAGTGGATTTCTGCTGTGCAAGTCCAGCGTTATGACTTGGAAGGTCTAACAGAATGTATCTCATAATTAGCAATTCCAAGCACACGATCACATTCATGTGAACTGTTCTTATTTTCTTTTCTAATTAGAATGAAAAAGAATACAGTCACCAAATCAATGGCCATATACCATGTACCTGAGGCCTTATTAATCTTCTCAAGAAATAGCAGCACATCTGGGACAGCAGAAGCCATCAGTGCTACTATTAGGATATAATCTCTGTTCATTCTCCAATACTAATCAAATAGTGAATTAAATGGAAATCTGATAACAACCAGCAACCTTTCGTCCTTTTGGTCTTTAATGGTGGCATCTCTGCCCTTTTTCCTAGGATATAATATTGATTTTTTAGTTACCTCTTGGCCAAAGAGAGACAATTTTAGAGGTTTCCATTTTTCCTTTCCCATTGCAATATCGCTTACTGAATAAACCAGATGCTCAATATAGTGATTGCTCTAATTGCCAAGTACAGAAAAAGTTACTGGGTGTGTTCATAGATCTAGTAGCTCTATTGTGAGGTGAATTTTAGTCAGGACTTCAATTATCACATAGTTTTCTTGAGCCTCCAATCTAAAAGAGAGCCTGTGATTACTCTTTTGTTCTTTAGGTATTAACATCAACATAGACCTCATGCGCAATAGTCTTTGAAACTTCTTGATGATTGCTATATTGCAAATGTGTCTCCCATGGGTTGTGTGTGGAACACTTATTTCCCAATGCAACAGTGATTGAATATGGGGCTTCAAAATAGGTAATTCGGTCATGAGGAGTCTGCTATCATGAATAGATTAATGTCATTATGAAGAGAGTAGGTTAGCTATAAAATTGAGCTCACCCCTCTCTTGCTCTATTGTTCTCACTCTCTGTTGCTCTTCCATCTTCCATCATGGGATGAGACAGCAGGAAGGTCCTTGCAAGGAGACAGGAGGAAGGTCCTTGCAAGATACTAGAACCATACTCTTGGACTTCCCAGCCTCCAGAATCATGAGCCAACTAAATTTCTGTTTATAATAAATAATCCATCCTATGGTATTCTGCTACAGCACCATAAAACAGACTAGGGCAGTGGTGATCCCCCTTTCCTCAATATATACCCACCTGATAAAATGTCTGTAAGTCCTTTGGGAAAGGACTAGGAGAATTGACAGGGTATATTTTTGCCATGATGTTGTATGGTTCTTCTGGTAGGGGTTTATTATTCTCAAGTCTATGGGTTCTGCCTGTGACGTTGTATGGTTCTTCTGGTAGGGGTTTATTATTCTCAAGTCTATGGGTTCTGCCTGTGAATGTTGGTTCAGATCTGACCACTAAGCAATGTATTGTCAGTTTTAATTGAAATGATCACCTTCAGCCTTTTGCTCCTCCATTCTTGTCCTTCTATTCCATTATAGATAATTAAGCAGCACTTCTGCTGGCTGCCCATTAATTTTCCCCTGTGGACACTGTACTCTATTAATCATTTCCATGACTTTCCTATTCAAGCCACTACTCTCCAATTCAAGCCCTCTTAAGCTGATCCTTAAAGATTGTTATGACAAGTGAAGCCTTCTGCCTTCTGTTGTTTAAATGCCACCACCTGGCTTCTATTACTTTGGGGCTCCATTACTCCCATGGCTATTAAGAAACTTAGACCTGTGACAACCTCTCTATACTTTGCCTTGAATCTCCAGAAGAAAACCACCACTTAAATTCTTTGTGATGTTTGTAACTCTCTCACCAGGACATTGCTGGCAGTCTTGATGAATGGCGTGTCCTCTGAGCCCACTCATGGAACATAATTCTCTGGTGAGTATTCTGGTCAAATATAACATATCTATTCTATCATGCCCACTTCCTTCTTCCTCTGGGTTGCTTCATCTTCTCTCTGTCAGGGCAACTCAGGCATTCCATTTCACTGCGAGTTGGCCATCAATTTATGCAGGCTTTATACGATTTATGCAGGCTTCTTCTGGCAATGAGATTACCTGATCACCCAGAAAGTGCCCCCCAGCCACTTCATTCTTGCTTATCCAACTTTAAATTCCAGCCCAATCTGATCAAGGCTCATGCTGGTATATCCAGCTTATGCTTGCATTCTTTAGATCTCTTTCTTTCCTTAGCATTTCTTTCTTCTTGTATCATGTCCAAAATCTCCCTAGCTACGTTAGCTAGGATTATCTTATATGAGCATTATCTGCCTGGCAGTCAGAACAGAAGGTAGAGGAACATCTTAGAGGGCACCTGTTAACCTAGTTTGGAAGATGCTGTTGCTGCCTCTTTTAGCACAACAGAAGTACCAGCTCTTATCAGGGAAGGGTAGGTCATCTCTAAAAGTCCAGGAGTCTGGGGGAGGAGGGGCAGGTCACACAGTCAAAATCCTCATGGGCATCAAATGTCTTGGTTCAATGTTTCAGAATTCCAGGTTTTCCCACCAGGACCCTGACCTTTGCACAATAGACCTGCCTGCCTTCATTGAGTGTCCAAAAGTCTTGGGAGATTTGCAATTCCACTGATTGAGTTGTAAGCTTGTCATTCCACTATATCTGTTCTTTTACTGCAAGAAAGAACACCCTCTTCATAAGTCATCACAGAGGTCTTTGGTTCTCACACTTAGCCTTAAACTGCTAACGGTCCTCAGTCTTCTTTATTCTTTTGAAGGGCATCAGTACAACCTAGCATCAATACCACTATGCTGTTTTTGTGGACATTGCTTTCCCACGTGTTTTCAAATGCCTGAATGGGCACATCAGCCACAGCATTCTCCTCCATGGGAACGTTTTCTCAGGCTACTACCAGGGAAATCCTTAGCAATGGAGGCATTACCTTGTGCCAGGTACTATCTGTCCCACCAATGAACCAAGATGGTGTCTTCTTTTTTGCTGGGTGGTGAGTGACCAAGTTCAGCATCATCATCTTACTGCATGTCTTATCAGACAGACCACTCTTGGGTCCAGTACCACTTGTGTTAGTCTGGATGCTCTGAAAGTAGCCCCCCTCCATGTCGGAATTAAATATGCAATGATTTTATTCAGAGAAAAACCTGTGACAGAAATGAGGGGAGGAAGCACCTGAGTAAAGTATTTCAGAGCACAGGACCCTTGATCAATTATGCTCCCTGTAGTTGGATATCTATAAGACACATTCTCATAGTTGCCACAGATATTACATTAATGTCATTATTCCTATGTTACAAATAAGAAAATGAACACAGAGTGATTGAGTCACTTGCCTAAAGTCTCAGAAATATCAAACAGAGGACCTGGGAGATATTCCAGCAGTTTTGCTTCAGCATCCATAATTTTAACCAGTTTTCTAGGCCCCAAAATAATAAAAACCAGCAGTTCATGTCAAAAAGATTGTCCAAAAGGCCCTGTTAGTGACTAAACTGTGCTCTCCCCACTCCCCAATTAATATGATAAAGCCTTAACCCCCAGTGTGATTATATCTGGACATAGAGCCTTTGGAGGAGTAAAGGTTACTGAGATCATAAGGGAGTGACTCTAATCTGAAAGGACTGGTGTCTTTACAGGAAGAGGAAGACACACCAAGTGGCTGTCTGTCCACAAGCAGATGGAGGAAATACCACGTGAGGACACAGCAGGAAGGAAGTTGCCCGGAAGCCGATGAGGGAGGCCTTATCAGAAACCAACCCTGCCTACTCCCTGATCTTGGACTTCCTGCCTCTGGATCTGCAAGAAAACAAATGTCCCTTGTGGCCGGGCACTGGGGCTCATGCTTATAATCCCAGCACTTTGGGAGGCCGAGGCAGGCAGATCACATGAGGTCAGGACCAGCCTGGCCAACATGGTTAAAGCTTGTCTTACTAAAAATACAAAAAAAAGTTAGCCAGGTATGGTGGCATGCACCTGTAGTCCCTGCTACTCAGGGAGGCTGAGGCAGGGGAATCACTTGAACCCAGGAGGTGGAGCGGTCCCTGCTACTCAGGGAGGCTGAGGCAGGGGAATCACTTGAACCCAGGAGGTGCAGCGGTCATGCGACTGCACTCCAGCCTGGGTGACAGAGGGAGATTCCATCTCAAAAAGAAAAAAAAAAGAAACAAAAGAAAAGAAAAGAAATATCCCTTGTTGAAGCCACTCAATCTGTGGTACTTTGTTATGGCAGCCCAAGCAGACTCGTACAGATCCATCATCAAAAATAAGCAAATCACAACGAAATAAAGAGCCACTAATATAAACGGATGGATAATAGGTAGTTTATGTGATGGTCTTTGTTTCTGAAACAGAAGAACACCTCACACTGATGAGGACCTCCTGGTTGCAGCTGAGGAACACTGCAGGCAGAGGAGAGTTCACTGGGGCAGCAATCTCCATCCAACCAACTGTTCTTCCCTCCTGGGAAAACAAACCACAACCCATCATGTGTGCCAGGCAGGCAAAAACTTCCCTGGAAGCCTGGAAATAATCACACCCTGAAATTGGGTTAACTAGGCTGCAATTTCAACAACACTCTTAGTCACACACACTGTTTCAATATTTTCTTCAATAAATTGGAGATAACAGAGTTTCAGCGAATATATGCCATTGATATCTATTAATCAAACATTAAGTATTTGCTGGACACCAACTGTCATCCTGGCAGTAAAACAAATCAATTCACTATAAGGATCTGTCTAGTCTTAGGCATTTTAGTTCAATTCTCAGCAAAAACAAATAAACAAAACAAACAAACAAAACAGTAGGCAAGGAAAAGACTCTAGAAATGAATGACTATCTCACTTCTGGTCAGCTCTTCAACCGGTATGGCCAGCAGTCCAAATTAGCACTCTGACCCTACAGGTATCAGTCTTTGAAGAAATATTGATGAAGACACTTGACCTGTGATTCTCTGACACTGAGGGTCAGAGGGGGAATAAGACACCATCACTGCAGAGATGACTTTCAGAAACTAGCTATTCATGCCTGAATACATTCATGCTCCTCAGTGTGGGTTCCTTGGACAGTAATTTTCAGTAATTCAGTCTGCTTATTCAAAATGTTCTCAACTGAGACATACTACATGTCAGAATATGGACAGAGAGGAAGAAGATGCATTTACAACAAACCACCTTCTCCTCCAACACACTAATCCTGTAACTATTATGCACAATAAAAGTATGAGAATTACTGGTAAATATAAATGTAGTAGGAATGAAAGAGGGTGTATCTGGTGAATGAGACAGAGAAGCTGGAGTCTCCAGGTATCCTCCTGATGGTACTAGGTAGTTTGTTCAGGTTTGGATAAGATACAACCAGAGGTTACCAATGTGGGGAATGGGGACTTGTAAGAGTCAGTATGTCATCAGGGCCTTTTTTAGGAAAGTCTGAGTTTGGAGAGAGAGATTCAGTATCCTCAGGGAAGCTAAGTAAAATTAGAAAACAAAGGCAGAGGCAAAATTGCCCCAGAGTCAGAAGATGTACAAAACTCAGTGGGCATTTCTGTTGTGCAGATGTAAGCCCTGACTACTGAATACTATATTTAAGAATTTCAGGCTAATTTAGGTCTCATTTCTTGCTAAGGTAAAGCTCTTTGTGTATTCATTACCTTTATTCAGATTGTTTCAATGGATGGTGAGGGATAATCTGTTTTTGCTTTGACCACAGCACAATAAAATTAGAAATAAACAACCAAAGAATAGCTCAAAATAAAATTACATATGTCTGTGTGTGTGGGTGTATATATATATGTATGTGTGTGTATATATATATATGTGTGTGTGTGTGTGTGTGTGTGTGTGTGTGTGTGTGTGTATATATATATATATATATATATATATATATTTTTTTTTTTTTTTTTTTTGAGACGGAGTTCCCAGGCTGGAGTGCAATGGCACGATCTCAGCTCACTGCAACCTCCCCCTCCCGGGTTCAAGCTATTCTCCTGCCTCAGCCTCCCAAGTAGCTGGGATTACAGGCATGCACCACCATGCCTGGCTAATTTTGTATTTTTAGTAGAGATGGGGTTTCTCCATGTTGGTCAGGCTGGTCTCGTACTCCTGACCTCAGATGATCTGCCCACCTCAGCCTCCCAAAGTGCTGGGATTACAGGCGTGAGCCATTGGGCCAGGCCATGTCTATAATTTTGTAACAAATTGCTAATTAACAATTTTATTGAAGAGGGTGTCTTAAAAGTCATAGACACAGAAATAATTATCAGTGAAAACACTGTATAATAATATTTGTGAGATAGTTCTAAAGAAATGTTTATATATCACTCTAAACATATTTCCTAGAAAACATGAAATGTTAAAACTATAGAACTGAGCACTCACATCAAGAACCTGGAAAAAAGGAAAAGTAGCAACTACTTTAGTAATAAAGTTAAAGGAAATAATAACTATAAGATCAAGATATATAAATTAGAGAATTAGAAAATGAATCCAATGATAATATATTGACAACTGGAGTCTTTGAAAAGATCAATAAGATATCCAAAGTTTTCACAATATGGAACAAGAAAAAAAATAAATTGCAAACAAACAAAATACATTAAGGAGGAGAAGGACAATTATAGATTCAAGGGAGGTTAGTAGAATCATAGAGGAAAATATTGATCAAATACACACTCAACTGCCTAGACAAAATTGATGTAAATATATTAGACACTGTTTTGTGCAAATGGAAATAGAAACCTCAAAGGAGCACATGGCATTAAATAGTTGAGCAATAAGACTAATGAGAAACATCTTCCATTCTCCCCCGAAGGCCCCTGACCCAAATGACTTCTACCAAAATTTCAAGGAACAGAGAAAGTCAAATCCACTCAATCCATTTTACAAGATGCTTATAAACATAATATCAAAACCATAATAGTTAGACTAAAAGAAAGGAACTATAAGTCCATTTTATTTGTAGCTACACTTTTGCAAATATTAAATATAATATTTCTAAGTTATTTATCACATACAAGAGTTGTTAACTAAAATAGTCATAGGTATTGGATTTTATCTGCACGTATTTAACAAAGCATATGATATTTTCTTCTTTAATCTATTCATGTGGTAAGTTACACTTACAGATTGACTTAATTGCTGGGATGTATATTTATCAGAAAATATTTGTTAAGATCCGCAAGGAGACGTGTACACAAAAGTCTATGACTCTAATTTTTGCATGTGATATTGATAATCTGGAAGCCACACTGTCCATAACTGGAAAAATTGATAAAAGAAAATGGGATGAATGCATACGATGAAAGAGTATGTAGCAGTATGAAGCATCCTGGATAGAAATTCAATACATAGCCTTGAGTGATAAAATAAAATAGAATAAAATGTATAGCATAATTTAATACATGTTAAAATACATACGCATATGAATGATACTTCTTTATTAAAGGAGGCATATATAACCAATATAATAATGCATATATTAAGTACCTTATAGAATACGTCTAATGGGAGGAAGGAAGGAAGTTGTTTCCAGTGAACAATGAGAAATAAAATACACAAGGGAAAAATGAAATGGAAAGCCAGCATCTTTATATGAACTAATGAGATGGTGTACTTTGAATTGAGGAGTCTGCAATTTCAAACCTATGCACTTGGGGAGCACCAAATTTTCCAAATAAAAATAAAATAGGAAGAAATGTCATTTTAGACTATGACTCACTGCCTTTCCTCTATATATGGTAATTATCCCCACACCTTTAAAGATACATTTTTTAGGCACCTTGAATTTCTGTTGGTTCAATGGCAATGTTATATTTTTATGGAAACTGACAGTGAAATTCTAAATGTACATTTGAGTGCACAACTGTGATGGGTCAACTTGGATAAGTGCCAACATAGAGAGTCTATAGTAGCCAGTAATGCAAAGTGTTGCTGTGAGGGGTTTCAGAGATGTGATTAACATGTACAGTCAGTTGACTTAGATAAGGAGATTGTCTTCTATAATGTGAGTGGGCCTGATCCAATCATTTGAAAGGGCTTACAAGCAGAACTGAAGTTTCCCCAACAAAAAGGAAATTCTGCCTCTCAGTGGTTTGCTCCCACCTGAGACTTTCCAGGCTGTTGGCCTACCCTATGAATTTCAGACTCTTCCTGCCATACCCCACAAACGCATAAGTCAATTCTATGAAATAAATTTATGTGTGTATGTGCACATGTGTCTCTATGTATGTTTGCATCTATGCATCTGTGTGTTTGTGTATGTGTGTGTGTGCACCAATCTCTTACTGATTCTGTTTCTCTGGTGGAATCCTGACTTATAAAAACCTCCAAACTTTAATTACCAAAAAGGCAACTATTAAAATTATCAACAAAATGATCACTAATTTCAATATTAATGTCGAATTTGGTATGAAGCTGCACAAATCCCAAAAAAACAAATATAGTCGACATTGAACAATGCAGAGGTTAGGAGCACTGGAGGCCCCACACAGCACACAGTCATAAATCTGTGTATAATTTTTGACTCTTCCGGAGTTTAACTACAAATAGCCTACTGTTAACCAGAATCCTTACCAATAATATAAACAGCTAATTAACACTTATTTTTTGTTATATGTATTATATCTTGTATTTTTACAATAAAGTAAGCTAGAGCAAAGGAAATGAGATTAAGAAATTCATAAGGAAGAGAAAATATATTTACTATTCAATTAGTAGAAGTGAATCATCATAAAGATCTTCACCCTCATTATCATCCTTACACTGAGTAGGCTGAGCAAGAGGAAAAGTAAGGGTTGGTCTTGCTGCCTCAGGGATAGCATAGGCAGGAAAGGTAGAGGAGGTAGAAGGGAGGTAAGAGAGTCAGGCACAGTTCCTATAATTTTACAAAAATATATTGTATTTTCTATCTGATTTTCTGCTTTTACATTTCTCTAAAAATGTTTCTATATGGTACCAATCCTTCTTCCATTGTTTGCTTTAGTTTCAGTGTCTATATCTTAGAAGGATCCATGTCATAAGAAGTCAAAAGCAGTCTTGAATAATCAAAACCCTTCTGCCAGATTATCTAATATCAATTTGTCAATTTTTTTTTTTTGAGACAGAGTCTTGCTCTGTCACTCAGTCTGGAGTGCAGTGGTATGATCCTGGCTCACTGCAACCTCCTCCTCCCAGGTTCAAGTGATTCTCTTGCCTCAGCCTCCAAAGCAGCTGGAACTACAGGCATGTGCCACCACGCCCAACTAATTTTTGTATTTTTAGTAGAGACGGGGTTTTGCCACGTTGGTTAGGCTGGTCTTGAACTCCTGGCTTCAAGCGATCCACCCACCTTGGCTTCCCAAAGTGCTGGGACTACAGGTGTGAGCCACTGTGCCCGGTCCTGGCACTGCTTTTTAAATTTCTTCTTCCTCATTGTCTGATACTGGTTCAGATGCACTCATCTCCGTCAAGTCTACCTCTGTTAATTCCTATGATGTGGTGTCTATTAGCTCTTGAATTTCTCTAAGATCCATATCTTGAAAGCCTTCCATCTACTTTTTTTTTCTGCCATATCCACAATCTCTCTAATAATTTCCTTGATTGATGCTGTTGTAAATCTCGTTACTCAGTTTCTCCAGCAGGAATTCATTGTGTAGGGCTTGATGGCTTTTGCATCTTTTTCTGTAGCAACAGTGGCATCTCCAATGGGGTAATCCTTCCAGACTTTTATGATGTTCTCTCTTTATTGGAGTTCTCTTCCATGACGTTGATAATCCTTCCCAAAGAGTATCATGTGTAATGAGCATTAAAATCTTTATGACCCCCTATCTAGAAGCTGAACTAGAGATATATTTGGGACTAGAAGACCACTTTGATACCTTCAGTGTTGAACTGTTGGGGTTCTGCCTGGCCAGGGGCATTGTCCAATATCAAAAGAACCTCAAAAGGCAATCCCTTACTGGCATGGTACTTCCGGACTTCAGGGAGAAAGCATCAGTGAAACTAACCCAGAAAAAGGATTTTTATTGTCCAGGCCTTCTTGTACAACCAAAAAGTCTGGCAGCTGGTTTATCTTTCCCCTTGAAGTCTCAAGGGGTGAGCAGCTTTACAGATAAGAGTAGTCCTAATCATAAACCCGACTGCATTTGCAGAAAACAGTAGAGTGAGCCTATGACTTTCTGACTTAAATTCTGGTGCTCCCTTTTCTTCTTTACTAATAAATGTCCTTTGCATTTTTTTTTTCCAGAATAAGGAACTTTTATCGTTAAAAACCTGTTCAGGCAGATATCCTTTATCTTCAATGATTTTCTTAATGGCATCTGGGAACTTCTTTGCTGGCTCTTGGTCAGCAGAAGCTGCTTCCCCTGTTATCTTGACTTTTCTTTAAGCCAAACATTTTTCTAAAATTATCACGTTATCCTTTCCTGGCATTAAATTCCCCAGCTTTAGATCCTTCACTTCCTTTTGCTTTAAGTTGTCATATAATGGCTTCAATTTTTCACAAATCTTATTAGTCTATAGGTATCCCTTTTTATAGCAATCCTGCACCCACATAAAAGCTGCATTTGGACACAAGATAAAAATGCATTTCGCAAACAGTGCAAGGTTTTTGCACCTGCTAGCATAGCAGCAGCAATGGCTTCATGAATTTCCTTTTCTCTTTTTTACAAAGGTCCTTACGTGGGATCCATTTATCTTGAAATGGCAGGTAACCACAGCTGCAGACCTCAATCCGTGGTGCCCATCAAGCACTGCAACTTTTTCTTATAATGTCATGACTTTTCTCTGCTTTTGGGAAGCACTTCCAGCATCATTAGTCACACTTTGTATGGCTCCCATGGTGTTATTCAAGGTTACGATATTGCACTAAACACAATGAAAAATACCTGAGAACTATAAGAGACCACTTTTACTGTGATAGTCAATTTGCTGGAAAGATAAACTACTCACGCAGAGATGATTGGCTTCACTAGGCGTTTTAAGCAGACACTCACAACGTTTTAAGCAGATACAACACTTGAGCTCACCACACTAGCAACAAGAGATGGCTACAAATTATTACAGTGGATGCACTACAATGAAGTTTATGCGGTTATGATTTAATACTGCATCTTTATGTTTGTCTACATTTCTCTCTGCTGCAAATGGCGCCATATACAAGTCTGTGTTTGTGTGCATAAGTTTTCATAAAGTTTTACTTTTTATAATAGATTTCTGTATGTTTTGTGGTAGTAAATGACATAACAGATAAGTATCTACATATATTTTATGCATCCATGACATACATAATATATTCTTCATTTTTAAGATATTTCTAGGCTATGCTGTTTGTCTATGAGTTTTTTTCAAATTGTCACAAATCTCCACAAAATTTTGCAATATGGTTATTGAAAAAAACTTGCATATAAATGAACCTTCAAAGCTCAAAGCCATGTTGTTCAAGGGTCACCTATAGGCTCTTTTGATTGATTTCATTTCTACTACGAATCAAATATGTTTTGAATTTCTGACTTTGCTGTAGGAAGGCGATTTTATGTATGAGTCTGTACTCAGAGATTTACCTCATTTTATGAAAATTATCTCTTCATATTCTCAAAAGTTAGGTATTGACACCCATCTTCAGAGATGCAAGTATGTGCAGAGAGTCAGGAAAATTTCAGGTAGGCAATTGTTAAGCTTATGTGGGAACAATAATTTTTTATTAACAGCAAAAATTTTCTTAATTTTTGTCTATTTGTGAACTGCTTGCTTTCACATTCAGTAATCAGCCAGTAACTCCTTCATTTTGGTATGCTCTGTTTTCAGATGTGTTGAAAGCCTTAGTTTTTCTTTTTCATTGTAATTTCAAAATATTTGTTCAACTCTCTCAGCAAAACAATTCTTCCTTTACTACCCCTTGGGGAGACTGGACCAAACTGTCACTAGTTCTTTCTTTGAAATGTCAATTTTGCTGTTTGAATAGTTAAGCCATCATGGAGGAGGTCAGAAAAAGAAAAGCATCCACTAACTTTATTCTTTTGTCATTCTCTTCTGCCCCTCTTTCTGCTCCCGCTTATGGTGTAGTTTCTATGTCTGGGTGCATCTGTGTGGCTGGGAATTGGCTAGACTTTAGAACTGTTGACTGTCCCTGCCTGGTGCCCTGGTGTCACCTGTATCATCTTTGCCCCTGGCCACGGAAGATGGAGCGCCTCTGTTTCTCCCAGTACTTCCAGTTCTTTATGAGCTTACCTTCTCCACTCGTTCCAGTTAAAAGTCAGTCTGATCGACTTTCCTTGGAGGTCACTCTCTGTACCTCTTTCTCCTTCAGCCACTTGAACCTTCTGTTCTTCTCTTTGACAGAGAAGAAAATGTGTTTACTATAAATATTACACATTCGGAAACAAAATATTTTGAATACACATTCGTTTCTGAATGCACACATCTATCATCTCCCCTAAACAGATCTTGAGATGTAGGTAAGGGGAAACTAAAACTTAGATAACAAATACAATAGTAACAGAAATAAAATATTTTCTTCACTGGATCATATAAAGGAAAATACAGACCTTGTTTGTTTTGTAGTCTTGAACAAATTACTTAACTGAGCATCATCAGTAAAATGGAAATGATATCCATCTTGCAGAATAATTTAATGATTATATATGTAAAGTGCCTGCTGCATGTTTAACCAATGGTAGCTTGTTAATACTAAAGTATTACTAACTTTCCTTCCAGAAAGGACTTAAGTACGTCATCACAATTTATTATCTCTTCTCTGTGATCTACAAACCAGAATCACAAGATGGGCTGAGGATCTCACCTCTATCCTCCTTAAAATTACTTCCCTACCCATGCTGCATTAGTCTGTTTTCATGCCACTGATAAAGACATTCCTGAGGCTGAGCAATTTACAAAAGAAAGAGGTTTATTGGATTTACAGTTCCACATGTCTGGGGAGGCTTTATAATCATGGCAGAAGGCAAGGAGTAGCAAATCACATCTTACACAGATGGCAGCAGGAAAAAAAAAAGCTTGTGCAGAAAAACTCCCATTTTTTAAAACCATCAGATCTCATGAGACCCATTCATTATCACAAGAACAGCATGGGAAAGACCCCACCCCCATGATTCAATCATCTCCCACCAGGTCCCTCCCACAACATGTGTGAATTATGGGAGCTACAAGATGAGATTTGAGTGGGGTCACAGAGCCAAACTATGTTGCATGGCTTCATGAAGCCTTAATATTAGGGCATCTTTTTTCCTTGCAAGTTGTTCAAGTCTCTTGACCCTGTAATATCAAAATGAAAACATCATTGCTGTCTTCCCCAGGAGTCTCATTCAATTTGGACTTTCATATAAAATTGTCAATGTGTGAATACAAATTAGGCAACCCCCTGCCCCTTAGAGAAGAGAGAAATGTATTTTTGTCTATTCTTTACAAAGATTTTAAGCTGATTTAGCTGGAGAGGTCAATTTGTGACTGATTGTATTCAACATAGCCAGCAACTTATATATTTGGGATGTATTTAGTTTGAGGATCTGCCTTTGATTTTTTTCATTGAATTGAAAGACACATATGTAGTTGAGCTTCTGCTGACTTTTTTTTTTCTTAACCCAACTAAGTGCTACCTAGATGGCAAAGAGATCCAGCAACAGAATTCAGAAGAAGAAATGAAGTAAAAACACAGAGCTAGACCCAGAACCCATACTACGGACTTGACCTTCAGGCACCTGCTGCTACACAGAATGCATCACAATTAATTGGAGGAATAGCAAGACAACCAATGAGCAGAGGGCTGGACCTCACTCATTCATAGAGGCCTTGGCCTTTTCAAAACCTGTCCCTCCTCCACAGCCTCTGAGATTGGTGGGATGGGAACCCAAGAAAGGAGAGGACTTGTTCAGAGCATGCCAAGCCCCTCCATTTTAAGCACTTCTCACTAATTTCAAACATAGAAAATGAGAAGAGTTACAGAATCAGTACTAGATGGCAACAAGGTGGTTGGGACCCAGCCAAGAAGGGAGATTTGACACAGAAGACTTGAAAGCAGTGATTGAAATAACAGTAAAATGTTGCATGTCTGTATCCCCAAAGTAGTTTAGATGCCACCATAAGCCAATTGACTGTATGATCACTTCTATTTATTCTCATAAATACTACGTACCAATATGGATAGTACTTTCATGCAGGATCCAAAAATATTTAAAAACTACAATTATATTTACATAAAATAGGCATAAGTTAGGTTAGACTGAAATAGATCAATATTTTTAGACCAGTTACATTTAGATGGTAAAATATTTATGTGATTTTTTGTCTTTTTCTCCATTGATCACTTATTCAATAAAGTGTTTGTGTAGTTTGTAAATTAAAATATAATTTTATAAACCATAAGGATGACTTAAAATTATTTATTCCTATCTCTCACCTAAGTTTTCATCTAATTGACATAAAATCTCTATCCTTCCCTTCTCACTCAAATTCCTTACCTTTGTTCTCTCTGCTTTTCCACTTGGCATCTCCCATTCAGCCTTCAACCCTAGCTTTTACCCTTGAAATTGTACACAGTCTATTCTTATGAAGATAAAAGTCTTACCCTCCTCAAACTGATCTCATGCACAACCATAAGAATGATCATCTTAAAACTAATATCTTATTACATCCACTCTTCCTTTCAAAAATCTGTCAATGGCTTAGCTTCCCATTGCCCATGTTACGAAGAACTCATTTTTGCATTTAAATTAAAGCCTTTCTTTCTCCCCTGCTCTGCTCTTAATCATTCTTTCACTCCCATTTACTTTTATCTCTTTTCTGCCTGTCTCTCTAGCCTCACCTCTCAACTCATCTTTTCTTCAAAATTTACACCCCAATGACACTAGTATGATTACAGCTCCCTACAAACATAATCTGATTGTTTCTTCTTCATTTCTTTTAGGCTTGCAAAATATTTCCCCTCTTTCTGGGAAGGGCCTCACCCTTCTCTCGCCTCCAAGATTCCTGCATTCTTGTTGAGTATTGAGCTCATCCGGGAGGCCTGTCCTGAGACTCAGAGGATTGTTGAAGTGTTCTTTCTTTGTGCTCCCATTTCCTCATTAAAACTGTTATGGAATTGTCATTTTTTTGTTTGTTTACCTACGTCCACCACTAAACAATGATAAGTTTGGGAGCAGAGATAACGTCTTGTTCCCTTTTGTATCTCCGGTGTTTAGACTATTGCCTGGCACGTAATATGATTTTAGTTTTTAAAATGAAAGAATTAAATCATTAAACTACATTTATAGTATGCATTTATTCCAACTACTATAAATTTGGTTGAGCACTATCATATAGCTCATAGATTGAATGCTTATCCACAAACGATGTCATGATAAATTTTATTAGATGCTTTGTTATGCAAAAAGGAAAACACACATTGATTATACCATTCTCTTAGGGGCCACATTAGAAATGATGTTGAGAGAGGAAATGACATGTGTCTGTTATGCTCCCATATATGGCCTGAGTTGGACACACTCACATGAGACACGATGCGTTGACCTGAACCAAGTACAGAAGACGGATCATCTTTTGCCACCTCTCTCCCCTTTTCAGACAGTCCATTTCTGACATGGTTAGTTCTACTGTCCCAGTTTACAGATTCCTCTCCCATTCTCTTGGAAATGACTTAATCACAAAAGAAACTTAATAATGGCAACTTCTCAAGCCATGAAAAATGGCCCTCAGAATAGTTCACCTTTTTTTTTTATTATACTTTAAGTTTTAGGGTACATGTGCACAACGTGCAGGTTTGTTACATATGTATACATGTGCCATGATGGTGTGCTGCACCCATTAACTCGTCATTTAGCATTAGGTATATCTCCTAATGCTATAAAAAAAAAAAAGAATTGTTCACCTTAGTCATTAAATAAGGGCATACTTATCCACCAACTCTCCTTTCTCTTTGGTCAAGGGTTTTTTTTTTTTTACTTCCTGGTTTGTCTCACCTCAGAATGCCTGAGTAGGTCCCTATAGGCACCTATGTGGGAGCAGCAGAGAATTCCCAGGGCAAAAAGTAGGAAATACGTGATACAGCTGAGGCATAGTATGTGAGGTTGCATTTGCATAGTGGCGGTCAGACCAAACATAGAATAACAAGGTGGACGAGCAAAGATGACCCAGGTACAAAAAGTGTCTAATGTAAGCAGTAATAATAGCAGCATTTCTGCTTTTCAGTGGGTAAATGAATGAGATGCTCAGCCTCCCCAGGGCAAGAGAGGGAAAAGGGGAGCATTGTAGATGAAATAATCATTGAGTTGTACAAAATACCAGCTTCAGCCTCAATGAATTACTATAGTACAGAATGAAATGCTTTGGCAAAGTCAATGAATAAAAAGGAGAGATTATTCTATTTCCCTTCCTTGGCATCTTACTTACAGGAATAATTTCATTCTGACTCTGTGTAATGAGGTTTATGACCCTGGGCAAGTGAGTGACTTGGCTGGGCTCCAATTTCTTCATTTATAAAATGAGATGATCACTGAGTTCCATTAGAGCTCTAACATTAAGATTTTATGAATCTATGTGCACACAATATACTAGAGTTTAAACTCTGAATTTCCAGAACTATGCAAGTCTGTATTATTGCACATGACTGTTCTAATGGATTCTCTACATTTTCCCAGTGCTTGGAGATCCCACTGCATTTTGGTTTTTCTTCTTCTGTGTGCTGATTATAATGATATATTAATTGCTCTGGAATTTCCTATTTATAGAAAGAAAAGCCTCTGAAGAATGCATTCAGGAAAAGTGGTTTATATGGATTATATGAAAATCTTAGCATGTATGCCTTTGGAAATACTCACCTATAACTGCCCATTTAATGACTAATTTCCAGAGCTTTCTCATCAGAATTACAAATAACACTGAATGCTTTCCCGTGGCCTCCAGGTTGCATATGGTCTGAGAGACTAACTCTGCTTCCTCTCCTCCTTCCACTCTCCCTCCCTTCCCTAATTCTAGCCACACTGGCTCATTTTCTGCACCTTGATCACATTTAGGCTTTCTGCCTTAGTCTTAAAATCATGTTCTTCCTGCTTGGACTCTTCTGTTTGTCTGTATCATCCCTTCTTCTCCTGATTCATCTCTCAGAGCAAACATCGCATCCCTGGAGATGCCTGCCTGAGACATCCAGTCTAAATTTGCTCCAGCCACACTCTATTGCTTCATTTTATGTTCCTTTTCAGAATTATTATTGTATTTTTTAAGTTTATGTGTAGTAATATATTTATTTCTCTGATCCTCATAAATGGTAAATTTCATTCTACCTTGAATCCTGAGTTCCCAGGAGAATATCTACAACATAATAAATGTAGGATTTATTTGTTGGCGAAATTAAATAACCACTGAGTGGTACATGGGTCAACATTCAAACGAAAAAGAACAAATACAGAGCTTGAAACTAGAATTCTTGTTTCAATTCTGTCTCTCATGTGATAGTATATAACCTGGGAATAATAAGTACTGTTTACTTCACAGGTTGTTGCTTATGTTTAGACTTTATATATAGTTACCTGAAATCTCTACCTTCGAGAATATTCGAGAAGAATCCATTCATTCTGTCATGTTTTATGTTACAGTGTGAATCTTCATCACTATTAGCTGTGAAAACTTGTGCAAGTTACTTAGCTCCCCTCAATTTCCTTACCTACGAAACTATGGTAATGACAGTACCTACCTCAGCTGTTAGATTCAGAGTACTTCGGAAATACCTGACACATTGTAACCACTTTATAAGTGTGTTACTTGTTTTCATTGTGTGTCAGCTTCTTTTCCTATTAATAACTCTGATTTAAGCTTAATCATCCTCTGAGGCAGCACTCAAATGCCAGGTCTTCTGTAAAGCCTTTACTTATATCCCTGTTTGCCTATTCCTTCCCTACTACATTACACAGAACATTAGTGATTTCTTACATTTCATTCCCTAGTCAACACTTTAAAACTTGCTTGCTTATTTATTTTCTTTCATAATATAAACTAAAGGATCATCATGAATTTCTCTAGTACATTCATTCAATTCTAGTACATTTCTAGGCCATTATTTTGTGGATAAATGTATATTTCCGCAAATAGATGGAATTCTCACTGTCTCAATTTATTTAAAATATTCATTTAAAACATTTGAATAAAACAATTTTCTTTTGTAAGCATCATTGGTCATGAATAGAAGGAAAATCAATTTTTAAAAATAGATTTGAGAAAATATTTTTAAGTCAATTGCCTTTTGATTTCAAAATACTTCAAAAGGTTCATTCTTCTTGGACTATAATTTATTTACTAAAATTCAAAATGAGATATCTGAGAAAAAAGTTATTGCATTAAATAAGAAAAAGCCTGTATTTTCAGTCCCAAATGGATGTATATCTGCTATTTTATCAGAAGATTTGCAATTTTAAAATAAATTCAAAAGCTTCCACCATATTTCTTGGTAAAACTAAAATAGTTATATCCAACAATGAAGTGCAGAGGCAAATACTATACACAAATCATAATTTTCATGTATTTTTTCAGTTATAGTCCACAGTGCTAATTATTTTATTTTTATACTTGTGCTTTCTTTCTTTCTTTTCTTATTTATTTGTTTATTTTTTTGTTTTTTTAGACAGCTTCACTCTGTCACCTGGGCTTCAGTGCAGTGGTGTGAGCTTGGCTCACTGAAATTTCAAACTCCAAGGCTCAAGCAATCCTCCTGCCTCAGCCTCCAGAGTAGCTGGGACCACAGACATGTGACACCACAACTGGCTAATTTTTATATTTTTTTGTAGAGATGGGGTGTTTCCATGTTACCCAGGCTTGTCTCGAACTCTTATGCTCAAGCACTTCACCCACCTCAGCCTCCCAAAGTGCTGGGATTACAGACGTGAGCCACTGGGCTCAGCAAATTTTTCCTAAATGTATTTAGAAGTTGAACAAGCATAATTATTTTATTTATTTCTAGTCAGTCATCTTTTCTATTTCCTGTAATAACTGATCAAAAATCCTCTATCCATCACCCCAAGACCCCAGGTATACACATGCAGGATCTTCATCTGCAGATAAAATCTGATATGAGCTTTTTGATTTCTTTCTGCCTCCAGTCATAAAACTCTTGGTACTCATTTACATTTACTTCCTTTCATTCTGTGTAAAATGAAAGCATCCAGTTTCAAGCTCAATCCCTTCCTGTGCTTGACTGATTGGAGTAAAAAGACTATTAGATATACTTCATTTAGATACACAGTACCTGAACATAAATCCCTGAACCTAATTTCGCTCACTTAGTAATCACAGGCCAATGGGTTATTGAATTAGCAATGTACACAGGAAAGTCCTAAATAAATTGATTGTTTTCTTCTGCTTTCTTTTCCCTCTTAAATTCAAAACTCTCTAAGACCTCAATTGTCTTTTTCTCTTAGTATCTGTTCAATGATGGATGATTCCTTTTTCTTCTGTTCCTCTCTAATATATTCAATCTCTCATTTTTAAATTTTCATCTTGTCTGTATTCAAATTATGCCCCTACCAAAAACACACACATAAAGAAGGAAACTATACCAAATTGCTTAAGATCAGTGATGAAGAGAAAACCTTAAAGCAAACAGAAAAAAACTGAATTATATGCAAAGGAACAAAAACACACATGAGAGTAGTTTCTTGTAGAAATAAGACCAACCAGAAGATGGTGAAGCAAAACCTTAAAAGGAATGAAAGAAAAAATTTCAACCGACATAATAATGTACATTTGACCAAATTAAATTCAAAACCAAAGGCAAAGACAAAAACTTTCTAAGAACAAGAAAATGGAAATAATTCAGCAGTAGCAGACCTGCACTGTAAGATATATTTAAAAAAAAAGAAAAGTCCTTCAGGAAGAAGAAAAGTGACAGCCCCTGGAAATCCAAATTTACAACAAGAAAAGAAGAGCACTAGAAATTGTCACTATGTGAATAAATAGAATTTTTTCTCACTAATTAAATCTCTTTAAATAATAATTGATTGTTTAAGGCAAAAATTGTAACAATGAATTGTGAGTTTTGTAACATTCATCAGAAGTAAAATGTATAAGCAAAAAAAATCACAAAGAAGAAAGAGATAAGCAGGAGTATATTCTTGTAAAGTTCACAGGGAAGTGGTATCATATCACTTTATGGTAGACTGGAGTAAGTTAAAGATGTATGCTGTAAACCCTAAAGAAAAAGAAATCACTAATATAATACAATAAAGAGTTATGGTTCAAAAGCCAATGGAGCACGTATAATAGAACCATAAAAATACTCAGTGAGTTCAAAAGATGTCAGCAAAGAGGGAAAATTGAACAATGAACACTGGAGAAAAATAGGAAACAAATAGTAGAATGACATACTTAAGTTCAAGTATATCAAAATTCACATGACATATAAATGCTCTACTGACTCCAATGAAAATACAGAGATTTTCAGATTGGAGAAGAAAGCAGGACCCAACTATTAACTGCCAACAAGAATCCAAAATCCATTTTAAATATAAAGACACAGAAAGTTAAAAATAAAAGATGGAAAAAGATGCAGTATGTTAACACTAATCCAAAATAATCTAGAGTGGCTGTAGCAATATCACACAACATATATTACCCAGCAAAGAGTATGAACAGAGATAAAGAAGGTCATTTCAAAACGATAAAGGGGTCAACGCATCAAGACAACATAAAGTCCCGTGTTTATGAACCTAATAACAGAGCTTCAACATTCATGAAGCAAAAACTGATAGACCTGAAAGAGGAAATAGAAGAATCCACAATTATAGTTGGAAACTTCAACAACCCTTTCTCTATAATTGATAGGACAAATAGACAGAAAATCATTAAGAACATAGAAATATTGGCCAATATTATCAACCTACTTGACCACCCCGCAGTTATGCAGACTACCCACCTTTTCAAGTATATTGGAACATTTAAGACAGTGTTTCATGAAAGAACTGCCAACAAATCTAAAAGAAAGAAACATTTTCCAGACTAACTTTCTCTAAGAAAAAAAATAATTTATTCCTGGCCACTTATTGCACAATATTTTCAAACGTTTGCCTTAGATCATAACAGTTTTTCATGTCAACACTTACAAGTTCGTATCAAAATTTCTCTGCTCTTTTCACCATTGCCCTCTGTCCAAATTGCTGTCCACCTCCTTTGTGCTACCTTGGAACTTTGCCCATAACCGTGTCATAAAACTTTGCCTGTTGGAATCAGCTAGACTGTGAATTACCCTCAAGCCTCATTTCTTTTTTATGGTAAAACCTATGCTGACTTCTCAGTCTTCATCTTACTCTAACTCTCAGCAGCATTTGACAAGATTGATTCTCCTTGTTTTTTGAAACGCTTTCTGTCCAGCTAGCTGTCATGACATCATCACATGCTCTCAACTTTTCTACAACTGCTCTGGTCTCTGCTTATCCGCCTCTCTCTGGTCCAGGTGAACCTCCCCTGCTGGATTCATGCTGCTGGGTATGAGAGTCCTGCATGAGGTATGAGAGTCCTTTAAGTATGTTCTATTTTATTCACTCTCATCTTTCTTTAATATCTCTTCCAGTTCCGTGGCTTTACAAACCATTTGCATGCTGACAGACCCCAAATTTCTTTTTTTTTCCTTTCAAGAGTGAGACTCCCTTCACTAGAAAGAAAAATAAAAATTTTTAAAAACACCAAATGTTTATCTTCAGCACACACATCTCCCTGAACCCCAGCCTCTGACATCTATCTGCCTACTTGCCATTTCCACTGGCATGTCCCAGTCCTAGCCTGTCCCAACATGAGCCCTGAGTCTTCTCTTCTCTCAAACCTTCTCCTAGCACAGGCTTTCACATTTCATTAAAGGTAATTCCATTCCTGCAGTTGTTCAGGCTAAAATCCCTGGAGTCATTTCCAGCTCTGTTCATTTGTCTCCTGTAATATAGCCAGTCCCTTAGCAAGTTCTCTGACCCCTGTCTTCAGAATCTATGCAGAGCTCACACCTACTCCACTGTCACCACCCTGGCCCAAACCACCGTTCTCTCTTACCCGGATTGTCATAGAGGCTTCTCAACCTGTCTTCTAACTGATGCCCTCACTCTCTTCAGCCTGTGCTCAACATGGCAGGTCATGTGAGCCTGTGATTCAAAATCTGCTCATGGCTTCACATTACACTCGGATAAAAGGTAAGCCTATTGCAAAAGTCTAGGGTCTTTCAGGGTTTCACACCCCACCTCCAGCTCATTACCTTTACTCTTCCTCTGTGTATCGCTCTGATACACTAGAGCTTCCTCACTGCTGTTCAAATATCCCAGGCAAAATCCTTTATACTTGCTATTCCTTCTGCCTAGATACAAGGGTGTCCAATCTTTTGGCTTCCCTGGGCTACAGTGGAAGAAAAAGAATGTCTTGGGCCACACACAGAATACACTAATGATAGCTGATGAGCTAAAAAGAAAAAAAAATCACAAAAAAAATCTCGTAATGTTTTAAGAAAGTTTATGGATTTGAGTTGGGCCATATTCAAAGCTGTCCTGGGAAACATACAGCCCATGGACCTTGGGTTGGACAAGCTTGGCCTAGAACATTCTACTCCCAATTATCCGCATGGTTCATTATCTCACTGCTGCCAAATGTTGACTCAAATGTTATCTTCCTAGAACAGCCCTCCCTGATGGTCTCTAGGGAGATGAAACTCCCCTGACCACCTTTACCTCCTTCCTACTTTATGTCTTTCTGTAAAACATATCACCATGTGGCCCATTATATATTTTAGTTATTTAATTAATGTATTGGTTCTCTCTCCTCCCTAGAACATAAGCTCCAGAGGGCGGGGGTTTTTGTCTGTTTTACTTACCACACTTTTCCTAGCACTTAAAACAGTGCTTGATACATAGAAGGCACTCAAGAAGTATTTGTAGAAATTGGAAAGGTATAAAACAAGTGAATGAATTAGTGCATAAATTATTTCTCTGGACTTAACCTCATTTCTACAATAAATGAAAATCAGAGTAAGCATTTATTGACATGGAAAGGAAAGCCTGGGCAAAGAAGACAAAGTTAAAATGAGAAAAAGGACAATAAAGATGAATGAAAGACAAAAGTAATGTACAATTATTCTCTTTTCTAGTCTTCATGTCTGATTTAGGAAAAGAAGAATTGTTTTGGACAGCTTATGCTATTCTTTATTTCAGCATAAGCACTGAATTTTTATTTTCATTTTTCAAGCTCCCTGTGCCCTACTTTCTTTACGTTTTTAAATAACAATGATCCACCCCCTCAGATGGGTTCTGTCAGCTATCTTGACCTTTGTCTCAATCTTATTTTTCTGTTTGACCTACCCACTATGCTGAGAAGACATTTATATTTAAGTCTCTGTTAAACAAGTCCAAAAGAATACACCAGTTTCTTTCAGAAGAGACTGTATTTTGTCCTCAAGGAATAAAATTGTTTAAATGTTACTGGAGACATAATTGCTGTTATGCTTCCATTTTTAAAATTTTTACATTTATATGTAACCCTACTTTAGTCAAGTTATGTCACGAACATTTCCAAATATTTCCCCTCACTTCACAAAAGTCATTTTCTCAGGATTTTAATAGAATAAAACTGAAGGTGTGTCCATCTGTACCTATTCATTGTAGTTTGTACAGACTCTCATATTATTAAGACAAAAGCCACTCTATTTTTTAGAGGTTTATTATATACAAACTTGTTGCTTTTTCTGTAACTAGAGGGACACTGTAATTGCCATATATAGCTGTTTCTCATTGTTACAATTTGAAGACACTGTTTAAGCATTAACACAAATTGCTAGTCAATCAATCAGCAATCATATCTTGAGCAGAGAACATGCCCTCACAGATCTAATGATTCAGCAGTGTGATCAGCTATACAACCAGGATATAAGATTTAAATTCATAGAACATTGGTGTTAGACACAAGAATGCTACTGTAACTCATATACAAGTGAGCATGAAATGGATCTTCCCTTTTGATCTCCTTTGAGACAGCATGTAGCAACCTTCTGCCCAGAGTCTGGAGTCAGGTATAAAACTAATCAAAGCAGGAAACAAACAAAAGGAAAAAATTAATTGAGTGTGTTTTCTGCTAACACAGCAATTGAAAGACAACTCATGCTCATTGAAAGCCAGAGTAGAGTGTGTAAACCATTCTTTATTTCCATTATGTACAAAGTTATACAGGCAATGCAACCTATCATATAAATTTGTACAAGTTTTAGCAAAGCCAAAAACAGCTTTGAAGAGGCCAGGTTTAAGTTCCCTAAAGGGGAAGGATGGAGACATTAGTGTGATGAGTGATGAGAAATGACCATCCTGCTGTTGAAGAAAGGAATTCACCTGAGGGACGGACCTCCTGACAGTCACTAGTTGTGGTCTCTGAGAAGTTTTGCTTCCTGATAGTCCTGAATTGTGGTCTCTAGGGCTTGGAAACCTCCAGAATCACATGATTCTGCAGGGTTTGGAACTCTGCCTATTTGTTTCTGGTTTGGATTTCATCTAACAATTTGAGGGGAGCAACTGGATGACCTGGATATGGCCACCCCAGAAATAAGCACCTGGTGTTACTACTAAAGTAGGTTCCCATCTTTCTAGTCATTGTGAACCTTGCACTGCAGGATATGCTCTGTTTCCTCTCAGACATTCCCTGCCAGTCTCCTGTCTACTCTGCATCTCAGGAAACATTTTCCATGCTCCCTTATCCTCTGACTTTGGGATGGGTTCAGTCCATTGGAAGCAGAGCTTGAGGAGGGGAGAAGCCTAATAATGGAGTGTCACTCCCACCCCTGCCCCTCTCCTTCCTGGCATCTCCTCAGTCATGTCAGTTCTCACCGGATAGGACCTTTCTTTATGTCACAACTGCCAACAGAAAGTCACCTGGATGTTTTCCGCTCTTGCCATCTTCCCAGTTCCTGTTAACATTATCTCTACTTGTCCCTGCAGTCATCGGGTAACAGTGGCTTCAGATTGTGGCTAAATTTGGGGTCCTTTTATTGTCTGTCTTTGGCTTGTCAGGTCTTCCATCACCTATGTATTAAGTTATTTTATTTGGAAGGAGCTAATGTCATTTCTGTTTTGCTGCTAGATATTGATTGATTCACAGGTTGTCAATAGAGTTGCCTCCTCAACCCCCTTCTTAGTGGGTTTTGCTAAACTATAGAACAGTGTAATATTAAATAGACCACTAACTGTTTTCTCAATCCAGCAAATAATAGCCCTGATGAGCCATAGTCTATGGCTTTCATAGCGTTTTTCTCTCTGTAATTTTGTCTTTTAAAATATTTTCTTAGGTATTCTTGGCTGGGCGCAGTGGCTCAAGTCTGTAATCCCGGCACTTTGGGAGACCGAGGCAGGCAGATCCCTTGAGATCAAGAGTTCATGACCAGCCTGGCCAACATGGTGAAACCCTGTCTCTACTAAAATTTTTTTTAAAAAGAAAAATTAGCCAGGCGTGGTGGCCTGTGCCTGTAGTCCTAGCTACTTGGGAGCCTGAGACAGAAGAACTGCTTGAATCCGGGAGAGAGAGGTTGCAGCGAGCTGAGATGGCCTGGATGACAGAGCGAGACTCTGTCTCAAAATAAATAAATAAATAAATAAATAAATAAATAAATAAATAAATAAATAAAATAAAATATGTTCTTAGGGATTATTTAAGATGGTTGGTTGAGACAGGATTTGAAAGGAAACGTTAGCCTGAAGTGACGTTTACCTCGGACTTTTAGTCTAATTAGTCAGGCTATTGTCCTTAATGGTCATTTTAAATTATAATTAATATTATTAGGACTTCTACTCTAAAACAACCTTTCTTACACTTAGCACAATTTCTTTTTTTTTCTGTTTCATAAAAAAAAAAATAGCAACCACTCTAAGAGAATTGCCTCCCTTTCCTACTCCCCTCCCCACTCCAGTCCCCCTGCTGCCCCGCCAACACACACACAAACACACACACACACACACACACACACACACACACAGACAGTGTTCTGTCCCTGAAGCCTCGGATTCCGTGACATCGCTCTCCTTGTCTAAGAGGATCGCTTTCTTACCTGTGTTCCAGACCTGATGGGCTCCCAATTTCTGTCTGCTCAACCTCTCTCTCTCTTCCTAGGGTTCTTTACCTTTTATTTTAGATCATTCCCCTCAGAAAAGTTAGAATCTTATACTTTAAAAAAAAAAAAGAGTTTACCTTCTGCTATGCGTTCCCTCTCACTCTCTTTCCTTTTATACCCAAACTTTATGGAAGATTATTTAAAGTCATACCTTCTAATTTGTCACCTCTTGCTCCATTATCATCAATTTATGTTTCCTCTTTCCACTAGTCTCTACTAACTTCTTTAACTTCTTAAAACTCATTGGTAAATCTTATTTAGTCTGTGCAGCATTTACTACCTTAGACCACTCCACTATGCTTTCTTGATTATTAACTTGTTATATGACAGCCTCCTCTCCTGAGTCTCAATTACATTCTCATTTATTTTCTTTGTCTCTTCTTTGCCCTGTGTGTATTGCAACTCCTGGTTTCTTCCTTTGTCATTCTCAAAGATCCATTCATCTACTTTTCTGGGCAAAATGGTGCGTTCCAAGTGGCAATTTTTAGAGTTACACTACTTGGTTCAGCCAGCATTTTCCTAGTGGATATAAAGAGGAAAATATATACATACGTACATACATATACATACATACATATATATACACACACACATACATACATATATATGTATGTATGTATGTACACTATTTGGTTAAGCCAGCATTTCCCTAGTGGATATAAAGAGGAAAATACATACATACATACACAGACATACATACGTACATATGTACGTATGTGTGTGTGTGTGTATATATATGTATGTATGTATGTACATATATATTTTCCTCTTTATAGCCACTAGGGAAATGCTGGCTTAATCAAATAGTGTAACTAAAAATATATATGTATTTATGTGTATATGTATATACACGTATGTATGTATGTATGTATATATTTGAGAATATCTCCACTTGTAGAAATGCTATAAAGAATGTGTTCTCTAGTCAGATTAGTTCAGATAGCAATTGACTAGAGAAAAGGTAACAGCAAGAGCATACTACTTGCCATGCACTGTTTCTAAAAATGTTTTCATATCACTTTTTAAAATGAGCATGTATTAACATCTTTTGTCACTATTGTTGGGCAGAAGCCAGGTTGGAAAATTGAAGGTGATAATACTGTCTCAGGAGGACTCCTGTATACATTTGCACTAAGATACATTAATTTATTTGAACTCTTTAGTAACCTCTTTAGTGCAGGCAGAAATAACACACTATCTGTTGTGTTGGAATATAAGATGGGCAAGTTTTGGTAAAAAGGAAATGACAGGACTCAGATAATGTAGTACCATGAAAAAACACCAACCTGGGATAACGTAGGTATTCTGAGAATTTTTGGACAATTTCAGGACAATTTCAGTGAGATAATAGACATATTAGATAAATGAAAGACTGAATGAGACAATTGTTCTGGGCCACTGATAAGAAAAAAGTGAGAAAAATTGTTAAAAAACAGTTTTATACGATAATGAAAGTAAACTCTTCAAAATATGCACAATTTCTTTTCACCAATTTCATCAGAATACCAAGATAAAAATCTCTGAAAATATAAAAAAAACCCTTTTACTTAAAACGATTGTATTTACTTTTCATAAACGATAAGGCTATAACTAATCCAATACGCAAAGAAAACAACCTAGTATCTGAAGATAACTGAATTTGTGCTATTATATCTACAGAACATTTATTTTTCTTGAAGTTTTTATTTGCAATAGGAAAATGAGGAAACAAAATTGAATTTCAGTAAACACACAAAGAAAAATTTTGGTTATAAACATTTTGCGTATCGTCCAGCTGCAGTGAATACATACTTTTTAAAGTCATGGAAAATTTTGTTTCTTTTTTTTTTTTTTTTTTTAATTTCAGACAGGGTCTCACTCTGTGGCCCAGGTTGGATTGCAATTGCATAAACACAGCTTACTGCAACCTTGACCTACCAGGCTCAAACAATCCTCCCATCTCAGCCTTCAAAGCAGATTGAACTACAGATAAGCGCCACCACTTAGGGCTAATTTTTTAATTTTTTGGAGAGATGAAGCCTCACTGTCTTGCCCAGGCTGGTCTCAAACTCCTGAGCTCAAGTAATCCTCCTGCCTCAGCCTTCCAAAGTGCTGGGATTACAGGTGTGAACCACTGTGCCCAGCTGGAAAATTGTTTTTGAGCAGTGTTTGTGGTGTTTTAGAAAAAAAAAATCCAAGCTGTGGTACATTTTTTTTTAATGAAGTTTTATAAAGCTGGGACAAATATATCAAAACTTCAAATAAATTTAATACATTGACACATAAATATAACACACGAATTTGGAGTTAAATAGCATCTTTTAGTTTCATTACTCCAGAAAGACACAGTATTGGGATACATCTGAAAATAAAAAATGACCCATTTCAAATGATGTTATTACAAAAATAAATCATATTATATACACTTTTTTATCATTAAAAATCATATCACAGATAATTGAAGGCAATAGCATGTTAAGTGAAATTAGTTTCTTTATCATAGCATATACATATGATTTTTTTCACATATATGGCTGACTATGAGGTTCAAAAAATACCTACTTAGCTACATAAACATTTTACGTTTTAAGCGCACATATTAAAAGTTCACATTACACTGTAACATCTAAAGAAACAACATTCACTCAGCCAGCAAGACTCAAAGAACAAAGCACTAAAATGTGTTTTCATTTAAAAATCCTGTATCAAAAAGGACTTACTAGCTTCTCAAGATTTGTCTGTACTGTAATCAGATTGCAAATTACTTCTCTTAGATCGCTCTGGGAGCATCGCTCTATGCAGCAGATGCCCCTGTTCCCAGCTCCACTCCTCAGTGTCACAGCTTGTGTTAAACTATAACATCCTTTTTGTCACTTAGCAAACTATTCTTCCTCACAAGCACAGAACTTGGGATTCCCAGGCCCCACTCCAAACTTGAGAAAAACATCTTAGAGTATGTTACACTTCCCTGCTAACCCTTCCTCATTTTCCAGCCCCCAAATACACATATGCGAAGAGGAAATGAAGAGACACCTGTCAGATTGATATGGTTTGGATACTTGACCCCTCCAAATCTCATGCTGAAGTTGGATCCACACTGTTGGAGGTGGGGCCTGCTGGGGTGTGTTTGGGTCATGAAGAGAGATCCCTCAGGAGTGTCTTGGTGTGATCCTTGCAGTGAGGAGTGAGTTTTTCTCTATTATTTCCTGCAAGAGCTAGTTGTTAAAAAGAGCATGATGCTTCCCTCCCCTCTCTCTTCCTTCCACTCTTGCCGTGTGATAACTGCACACGCCAGCCCTCCTTTTCCTTCTGTTATGAGTAGAAGCAGTTTGAAGCCCTCCCCAGAAGCAAATGCCAGCACCATGCTTTTTGTACAGCCTGCAGAACCGTGAGCAGGGACCTTGAACTAGAAATACCATTTGACCCAGCAATCCCATTACTGGGTGTACACCCAAAGGATTATAAATCATGCTGCTATAAAGACACATGCATACGTATGTTTATTGCGGCACTATTCACAATAGCAAAGACTTGGAACCAACTCAAATGTCCAACAATGATAGACTGGATTAAGAAAATGTGACACATATACACCATGGAATACTATGCAGCCATAGAAAACGAAGAGTTCACGTCCTTTGTAGGGACTTGGATGAAGCTGGAAACCATCATTCTCAGCAATCTATAGCAAAGACAAAGACCCAGACACCGCATGTCCTCACTCATAGGTGGGAACTGAACAATGAGAACACATGGACACAGGAAGGGGAACATCACACACCAGGGACTGTTGTGGGGTGGGGGGAGTGTGGAGGGATAACATTAGGAGGTATACCTAATGTAAGTGACGAGTTAATGGTTGCAGCACACCAACATGGCACATGTATACATAAGTAACTACCCTGCACGTTGTGCACATGTACCCTAAAACTTAAAGTATAATAAAAAATAAAAAAGTAAAATAAATAAAATAAAATAAAATAACAAAAAAACAAATAAACCTCTTTTCTTTATACTTTATACCTAGCCTCAGATATTTCTTCATAACAACAGAGACAGACTAAGACACAGATTGTTGGGAGAATTCTACAATGACAGAAGTGCATGGGTCTCAGTGGGTTGTGGGAGGCACGGATATCAGCCTACCCAGTGTTCATTCTTTCCTCCCTCCTGCCTAAAGAGCCCTCCCTTTGTTTGGGGATACAACATGCTCAGTAAAGATTTACAACTTACAGGCTCCCTTGCAATTGGAGATGACTGATTGCTGGCTAAGATTATGTACATAATGGCATTGAGTGGGGCTGCTGGGAAATCTCTTTTAAAGGGACAAGATTCAGCTCACATGTGGCCTTGCCCTTTTCCATTCCCTGCCGGAAACTCAGTGCAACACTGGAGGTGAATCAGAGGTGACAAGCATAAGCACACAATTTACATGTGGAAGACACGGAATGAAGACTAAATTCCAAGGAGGGTCTTGGGGCCACCACACCAGTCCTGGGCAGCCTCCCTCTGGACCACTTGCCATGTGAAAAAAATAAATAAATAAATCCATCTTTTGTACAAGGAATTTTTAAATTTGGTTTTCTATTACTTGTAGCTAAACGCAATCCCAACTACAGTGATTACGGTTTATCCTAGTTAACATTATAATACTTCAAGTGTTTATAGTATTCGAGTCACAGGAGCGTGACCTTTTCTGATTTATTATAGAATGAAGATGCTGCACTTTATTACTCTTTTAAATCCTTGTTTTTCGGATAAGCTTAAAAGCAGCACAATCATCAGAGCTATAGCCATTGGAAGTCAGAAAAAAAATCAGATAAAATTGAAAATTTTATTTTTATTGGGTACTGTTTACCGCTTTATCTACTTATTTATTTATTTATTTATTTATTTATTTATTTATTTATTATTTTGAGACAGAGTTTCACGCTGTTACCCAGGCTGGAGTGCAATGGTACGATCTCGGCTCACTGCAACCTTCGCCTCCCAGGATCAAGTGATTCTTACGCCTCAGCCTCCCGAGTAGGTGGGATTACAGGTGGGTGCCATCATGCCCAGCTAATTTTTGTATTTTTAGTAGAGATGGGATTTCACTGTGCTGGCCAGGCTAGTCTTGAACTCCTGACTTCAGGTGATCCACCCACCTCAGCCTCCCAAAATGCTGAGATTATAAGCATGAGCCACCGTGCCTAACCTGATTAGCACTTTAAGTGTTAATGGTTCATAAATTTCATGTACATTAATTAAATGTATACATATTAATTATATTGATTTAATTACAACTATATTATATATAGTTATATATACATTTAATTATATTAAAAAACATACATTAAAGTGGTTAACTATAAAATAACAAAGTATGTGAAATGTGAACTATTCAAAATAAATATAGTTTAAATGAAAGAATGTCTGCTACATTTAAATGAAAGACTCTTCCAACTTAAAACACTGTGAAGCTGGTAATTCAATAAATGTTGCTTCAATGTGGAATTTTCAAAGGACATGAACAGCTATGCTGTTGATAAGCAGTACATGGTTACATGGTTTTGTAAAAACAAACTGCTCATGTAGAATCCATGAAACAGAAATCTCAACTGTGTATTCAATCTTATGATAGATTAGATAGAGATAGATGGGTAGGTAGGTAGATAGACTGGATAGACAGATAGATAGATAGATGATAGATAGATAGACAGATAGATAGATAGATAGATAGATAGATAGATAGATAGATAGACAGACAGATAGATGATAGACAAATAGACTGACTATCAGAGATAGGTAGATAGATAGTTAGATAGATACATAGGTAAAAATACACTGGTCATTGTGGTACAAACTCTGTAATGCAGACTTCATGACTCTCAGTGAAGTGTCCCCAGGATCATTTCCCAGTTCTTTTCTTCCCACTTAGCCATCTCCAAACTCTATAGTCAGATCAACATACAGTTAGAAATAAAATACTACAGACATGAGCGTCATTCTTAGTTATCCCAGCCCCCAAGGAAGAGCAGAAAGGGGCTGACGCTCTGCTCCCACTTTGCACCCTGAGTACAGAATGTCTGTGAAAGTAGATAAAAAATGGAAGATGTAGTATTTGTTTACATGCATTAATTAAGCTAAACTTATCATTTAGATTATATAAAATGCTAAACTATTGCTTTACTTTGATAAACATGTATTTGCAGATGGCTTAAGGTTGCCAGAAATTTTGTAACTTATATGCTGTTGATTTGGCTCTTAGATTCACCTGGAATTCTCCATTTTCCTTGCAAAAATACTAACATGGGCCTAGTCACTTGATGCCCAGACCCATCTGATCTCATCTGTTTATATTTTCTACTCCTGATATTCATTATACACTTTAATTAGACAATCAAAACCTGAATTAAAAGTAGGTGTATGAAGAAAATAGCAATATAAAGATAAGTTACAAACTTAGAAACTTAGTAAAGACAAGTGGCTTCTATTCTCCCCTATCACCCAAACCATCTGTGGAATTAGGTGTGGAACAAATAACTGTAAAATATGAATTAAAAATGTAAACGCATCGAAGAATTCTTAATTTGCTTTACAAGTGTTTATAATCTATCATTTAACATTAAACATTTTTAATGGAAATCTTTGGCATTGCATTATGAATATGGTTTATGCAAGAGAGACCAAGGGATATCCATCTGTGGGCATCTGTTCAAATAAAAAGCTTTGATCGTACATCAACAGATGGAGAAAAGAAGGTATACTGATAGATTTTAAGTTACAGAAAGATGCCAAGCATCTGGTCAGAACACTATTTTATCACCTCTAAACTGTGAATTTGGTGTAATTATACCAATCCTATAGAAGAGGAAAGGCTCAGAAATGGAAGTAACTTGGCCAAGATCATATTATTTAAGGAGGAGAGCTTAGATTCAAAGAAAATCTGCTCAAATCTAAAACTATTGTAAGTTGATACTGAATTTCTTCCTCAGATGACAAAACTATGATATATTAATATTATTGAGAGCGGTTAGATTGGAAACAAACATTCACAAGTAGAAAACATATATTCCCTCAAGCAAACCACTGATTGATTTTAAATTTTATTTGCTATGAATCCAATAGAAAAAATAGCATTGCAGGATTAATATTTGTTGACAACAAAATTATAATGATTTCTACTAAAGCAGAATACATTTACTTGGATCCTGGGTAATAAGATATTTACTAAATTTATGTAGTTGCTAAGTAACAGATGAAATGCAACCCACCTCAATGATTCTAAGCAATGGATAAATGCCACCAGTTTTTAAATAGAATGTGTTCTGTATCATAGGATCCTCAGCCCTTGGTTCTTGAGTTGCACTATGATTGGAAACATTAACTTTTCAACTATGAAATTATCCTCCTTCCTCCAGCCTTCTTATTTGATACGACATTTTCTTTATCTTAGTCTCTTCTTCTTGTATGAAAACTTAGAAATGTACACAGAAAAAAAAAGAAGGCTCCTTAGCTGATGGGAATTTTGGCTTAACCCAGGAAAAATTTTAAGACCAAATGACAAATAAAATATTTTATATAACTGATTTTATTTGTAGTTCAAAAATATATTTTAAAAGTTAGATTTTAAGACAGTCCTTTCTGTCTTCAAGCTGGGCATTTTTGTTTATTTCTGTTAAATTTATATTCTTAGTGTTTAAAAGATTCATACCATAAAATTCAGATAAATTTTTTAACGTTAGAAAGAGTCCAGCACTGTAATTAGCATAATGCCTTTTTAATTAAACAGTCCCTCCACCAAATTCTATGGCTATGTTGAAAGGTACTGCTTCCTTGAAAAATAAATATCACAAAGGTATGCCTCACCTTAGAAAAACATTATTTTGAAAAACCACCACTTAAGGAAAAATGATAGTATATACACATATAGTCTGGTATAAGTCCAAAAAGCCTCTTACGTATGCAGAAATCCGTAGCTCAGGACAAATCAACAGCAGCAAATATCTTTAATGTGTTACGAGCCTCGCAGACCTTAGTTAAACAGATGAGCAATTAATATATTTACAGTAAGGAACAAAGACCTCTGCATTAGTAAAGAACCCAGCTGCTTTTAACTTGTATGTCTGGCTTTTAAAGATGCTTATTTGAGATAAGATTTAGTCTCTAATAAAATACATCTTTGCGTTGTTTCTTAATTTTATTTGAAAGAAAAATACTCCTATTTTCTCATGTTTAAATCTATGGCCTCATCCTAGGTTATGTTTTTTCTTTTTATCTAGAGTAAACCATGTTTGTATTCTAGGAACACATTTTCATTTTTATAATAAAACAGAAAGGACTTAAAAGTTCAATTGCTTTAAAAAGTCACCTTAGCGTCTAGCTTTGCCGGACACGTCTAAAACCTGAAGAATGTCTATTTTACTGTTAGTCTCATTGTCTTGAATTTGCTTGTGCACATTTTTTGAGGGTAGTTAATTCCAGCCAGAAGGGGAGGATTTTTCACAGTGCCGAAGTTATTCTGCAATGGTAAATTATAAACACAGCTTATTCATTCCTTTGATCTTTTTGTCCATTCTATTCTCCCTGGCTAAAATGCTTCATGATTTATCTTAAAAAAAGGTTTTACAAAAAATGCTTATAACCGGTGTTCTATGAGTCTGTAGAGTTTCATTTTTAACTCTTGGAAGCCCTCATACATTATGGATATTTACATCAGGTCATATTTTCTGACCAAGATCTTAAGTTTCTTTGGGTGCAAATCTTCACATCCTCCATGTGCTTTCTGTACAGTGCACAGTAGATAGTTGGTCAAAATATGCATAATTGCCATCATACACAGGGCAAAGAATTCGTTGTTCATGGAGCAGATTAATATTCATGCATTGGAAAACTAAGTTCTACACCAAACTATTTCAAAGCAAGAAAGGCCGGGCGCAGTGGCTTATGCTTGTAATCTTAGCACTTTGGGAGGCGGAGACAGGCGGATCACCTGAGGCCAAGAGATCGAGACTAGCCTAGTCAACATGGCAAAAACCCATATCTATTTAAAATACAAAAAATCAGCCTGGCATGGTGGTATGCGCCTGTAATCCCAGCTACCCAGGAGGCTGAGGCAGGAGAATCACTTGAACCTAGGAGGTGGAGGCTGCAGTGAGCCGATATTGCACCACTGCACTCCAGCCTGGGCAACAAGAGCAAAACTCTGTCTCAAAAAATCAATAAAATAAAATAAAATAAAATAAGAATGTCAAAGCAAGAAATATAATACTAATCCCAAGGAGCAAATTTGCTTCCAAAAATCTCTAGTAAGTCCCCAAGAAGGAATAACTTTACTGTATTTAAAATTGCCTTGTTTTTTTTTTTTGCTTGAAAGACAACTCGATTAAATTATTGTGAAACTACATATTTTCATTATGTATAACTGGTTTTAGAAACCTCATACCTAAAAATACCTAAGAAGCAGGCTTCTCTTACATAATATTTGGTTGAAACCAACATAGATCTGTTTAAGCAATGTAATGTTTATTGTCCCAATGCCTGAATAACAGATTTTATTTTTTATACTGCAGAAATTTAGAGAGGATTAGTTTTCCTTATCACTTTCTAGAGCTATCTAAAAGTATGAAATCTCTGAGTATTATGAAATATTCAGAGAATTGGGGAAATATTTACATCACTTGAATATAACACGTAAAGTTCAAATTTTTGTTTGAAGGAACAAAAATCATTCTTTTTGTTATTCTTGGCTATTGTCAAGGTATTTTTGTTCCAAGGAAGAAGTTTCAGTAAAGTTATACATGTCTGAAAAATTAACATGGGAGTATAGATTGTTAACAGAAAGAGACTAGATGAGTTACATTTATTCTCATAAAAGTTGTTTCATAAAATGTACTTTGTTATTCCCCAGGTCCTGATAACATATTACATAACATACTGTTAATCACAGTTCTAGCTTATGAGTCACATCATTTATTTTAATATTTCAGGTGCTCTAATTTTTTTCCTATAAATTAGCCTTTCCCCAAATCTTTTCATAGTGTATTATCTTGGTATTCTTTTTCTCACAACCAGTTACAGACTTGAAGTCCCTGTGGGAGAAGAATCTAGGGAAAATTGTTATTTTTTTCTCTTTTCTATATCTTCATTTCTAGCATAAAAAAAAAAACAAACAAAAGCTCTCATCTTGAGAAAATATAAAATAATTTACATCTTTTTAGTGTCACCCAGGAATTCAGGCCCCTAATCAGGGTGCCTGCCTCTGGAAAGAAAACGCTGTTGAAAGTTAGAAGCGTGCATTCAGCTCTAGAGGGCGCGCAAGAGTCTCCACCTGACTTCACGTCCTCACCCCTCTGAGCCAGACAGTGGCTGCTGATTTTGGCCAAAACCAAAGACAGCATTGGTGCTGGGGCATACACCTTTGGCATGGGTGAGGTATGAAAAAGATACTAAAAGCAATAACCCCCAGTTGGATGTCTCTTTTGAGATGTTCCTTTAAGGATCACTGCTTTGGGGATCCACCTCTTTCAGGTCGGCCTCTTTTGTAATCCTTCCTTCCTTCTTTGGATTGGTACTTTTGGATGCCTACTGTTTCTTTGCCTGTTGGGTCTGATACAGGATGCCTTCCTGCCTGACATAATACACACCATTCATCTGCTTAGGACACCAGTGGGAACTGGGGTGAGGGCCAGGGAGAGAAAACATGGAGCAGGAAGCAGAAGGTTGTCTCTAGTCCAGACAGTGGAAATTCCTCAGATTCACAGGTAGTCTACTCCATTCCCTTAAGTAGATTTCATGAAAATTGGAGGCCAGAGCCCCAGACAGCAAAATGAGGTTAATTTTATCCTAGAGTTTCTCCTCTGTCCAATTCACTCAAAAACTTGAAGAGAAATCAGCCGGGTGATGAGGGCTAGACAGTCAGGATTCTAGCCTTCTGTCTTTAGAGACTCCACTTCAGAAAAAGAGGAAGACCAAGAATTTGGGTCATTTACATATGAGTGACTAGAGAAAAGAGAAAAAGAGCCTCTGAGGAGTAGAGAAGGGCAGAGGCCTCAGGCTTGGTCTAGACACCCCCAGGGGAAGTAAAGGCAAAGCTGTAACATCAAATCCACCCATGATCCTATCCAGAGAGAGATTCAGTGTACAAAAATAGCTGAGATACCACTGGATTCAATCTCAGAAAGAACAGGCAGAGATCTTTAAAGTCCCTTTTATCAGGGTTAATGTGGGTGATCTGAGTCCTAAATGACATTCTACCAGTTAGTAACTAGGTGATGTTTGCTGAGAGAGATGACACATTGGCACCCTCTCATTCATGCCATTCATAGGCAGTACCACCCTTAGACCTGGGCAAGTGGGGTCCTTACTCCCACTCTGGGGTGCCTTCCTCAAAATTTACCAAGATCCCTGTAGTGTGTAGGACAAGCTGGGGCCTGAAGTATTGTCATGGTGTGGTGCCACAGGCCTGGACCACTTGGCCCTGGTCCCCATTTATCCCTTTTGGGGCAGTCTCCAACTCTGTCCCATTAACGTACCCCATAACTAGGGTCAAGCAGATGACCCAAGGAGGAGCTGTAGTCCTCACAGCTTTCAGGTTATTCCAGGATCCTGTGGCCAGTACCCAGTTCAAGAAAGAGCTTGGTAAATAGATGACTCCCTCTGGCTGCTGCAGTATTTCTTCCAGAAGCTGGTTGAGATTATGCTGCCAAAATGGTGCTGACACACTAATTTGGATTGACTTTCACTCATGGAGAAAGCAGAAGACATTCAAGGCTATGGGCTACAAAGGAACACACTTGGGCTTGAGCCATGTTTGTGAGACAGTTCATCGGCTTTCCCTCATCCATCACTGCCTCTGGTCTATCCCAAAGTAACAAGTAGCAACAGGCTTCCCTTACTCCAAGTTCCCCATGCCATGGGTGGCCCCAAGGGTTATCAACTCACTCCCTGTAGGCTTTACATCATACAGCAGGCAGTTCTCAAGTGGGCCTCTTGTTTTCAAGGGATTTTGAGACCACTGCTCCACATGAACAAAGGGCAGGCAATTCTGATCAACGTCCACTCTTGCCTCCAATGGATATGATAATGTTATGGTATCTCTGATCATTTTTAAGGCATGTCAAGTTAGGAGCTGACAGTTCTGTGAAAATGGATCAACTCTGCTTTGCCCATGGGCCCCTCAGTTACCCTGTCGACTTGTGTTGGTGGGAAGACTACAGGGTCAACATGGTAGGATCCCGTGCTAGGAATACGGTGGTTGTGACCTTAAGCTTTCAAGGAAGATGAGGCAAAACCACATGTTTTCCTGTGCTTAGACTATGACATTCTGAGAGTAAATTTAACATGACAAGAAAACAAATCAACTTTCACATAATTCTGAATACCCTGCGTAAGACTTGCATCTGGAGTCATCATCAACAAAGCTCAGTAATAACCTTATAGTGTTATAAGTATCCATGCAACCAGCATTAAATAAAATAAAGAACAGCAGGAAACTGCAAAGGCAAGAATGTCTGTATTATTTCAATACGAACAGGTTCTGAAGAGCCATGACATTTTGAATAATAACAATGTTGCTCCCTTTTTATTTTGATGGACACATGACATTAGCCAGGAAGGGTACACTTGACAATGAAGAACATGAAGAGATAGTTTCTAGACCGAACCAGGAAATGATAATGCCTGAATATCACAGAGAATTCTCATGCATGGATCAGACAATAAATAAATACATAAATACCTCTTTGTTACTCATTATTCTAAATCCCAACCAAAATAGATAAGTTACTATACCTCACACGGTCCCACGAATTTTGTTTATGACAACAAAAGCCACACCAAAAAAAAAAAAAATTGTGCAGGGTCTCACCCACACCAGCAGCAGCCTTGTCAACATTCTGGGACTTGGCAGCCTGTTTGGCCCTGGCGGTGTCAGCACAGCAGGAACTCTGTCACTCACAAAGTGGAACTGATCTCACCTTGCAAGAAGCAGCAAGTTTGTCCCCATTTCACGGGGTGATGTCTCTTTGTAGGTGCCAACTGCACTACCAGCAGCTGAGGGGTGGCTTGGGTTAGGCGAGAGTGTATTTGGAGCAAGCACTTGAGGAAAGTGAGAGAATGTTTTAATGCTTAATCTCTATCACAATTCCCACTACTAGCACCAAAAATATACCAAAAGACCAGAGTACTAAGGATTGCAAGCAACCTCAAGACAAGTTCCAAGCCTTTCCCACTTTAAACCAGATTGTAACTGCTAAGCATTCTTTTTCTAGATATTCTAGTCTCTACTGTTAGTAGGATTAATACAAACATTTATTCTACGCAGTGAGATGCTAAATGAATCCTTCTTGCCTGATACTCAGGAATTCTTACCACGAAGAATCATTCACCAAAGCTTATGTTACACAAAATATAGTCTAAAGAAGTATTAAAAACTTCTTTCTTTGTTCTTTTGTTTTTTAGAGTCAGGGTCTCACTATGTTGCCCAGGCTAGAGCCCAGTGGTGCGATCATGGCTTACTGCAGGCTCAACCTCCTGGGCTCCAGCGATCCTCCCACCTTAGCCTCCTGAGTAGCTGGAACCACAGGTATGCACCACCATGCCCCACTAATTATTTGCTATGTTTGTTTGTTTGTTTTTGTAGAGACAGTGTCTCACTATGTTGCTTAGACTGGTCTCAAACCCCCTGACCTCAAGTCATCCTCCTGAATTGGCCTCTCAAAGCACTGGGATTACTGGCTTGAGACACTGTGCCTGGCTAAGTGCCCCATATTCTAAAGAGAGCTCCCTTAAATCTGCACTAAATATATTAAGAGCTTACTTAGGGAGGAAGAAACAAGCCATGTTAAATTTGGTATCCAAGCAATTTGAAAGAAAGCTGAGACATTGAGAGAAGGGGAGAAGTTACTACGACTTCTCAGAGAAGACACATTTTCTTACCCTCCAAATAGGAAAAGAAAGGAGAGGTGCTCTTGCTTCTCTCTCTGAAGCCAAGTAAGTGTGGTTTCAAGAAAATTCCGCATAAATTTTAAAGATGCCTTTCAGAAGGGTGTCCTGGTGTCTAACTTCTCTTTATGGACATCACTCTTACTGATGTGGCACTGAAAAGAGACAGCAGAATAAGATGAGGAGGCAGTCTTGGAGCCATCTGTATCCCCACAAGCTGGTGGACAGAGATGTAACAAGTGTATCAGGAGTGAAGGCTGACAGTAGAAATAGACAAGCTCCAGCCATCTTGCAGGTTTCCAAGAGGCGAAAGATGGAGAATGGGAAAGTATTGGAATAAAAAGTCAAGTTAGAGTTGAATCTTTCACATCAAAGAAAAGTGCAATATGCCAGGGAGTGAGGAGCTTGAAGAACTTTGCATAGTACCCCACAAATGAGCCAGCATTTGGATGTTTACTGCAGAGAAAGAATTGACAGTGGTTAGTAAGCCGGACAAGAAGCAACAGCACAGCCATCAAGGTGAGTACTCTGATAGGGCTGGGTTCAATAAAGCCTTGCTTGTCTCCTCCTCCTTTTCTCCTAACCCCAATACATTGGAGAAATGTGGGTGGAAGAGGGAGGACAAAGAGGAAGTTTCTTAGGAATAGAAAGCTTGACGAGGCCCATCTCCTCCAAATGGGAGGACATTAGAATCAAGTTTCAGAGCGCCATTTTCAACTGCACTCAATTTTGTTCATGGAGCTAAAAGCTTTCAAAGTCTTTCCAACATGTCATTCAGGGGCAGGAAAGAGATTCAAGAGAGTCTGATGGAAAGCAATCACTGGAGGGAAAAAATAAAAACACTCCATATTTATATCACTTGAATTTAGAGTGCTAAAGAAACTGATGACAAACAGACTCAAGTTGTCTCAAACCTGAGTGACACCCTGCCAAGTTGTGGTACCTCCCTGCTTGATTAGTGAGTTGTCTGTTTCTACACCTAACTGCAAAGCTTCCCTTTCCAGTTTTCTTTCTGGCACGCACTCTGGGGAGAGCTTGATGGAAAATAGGTCCTTGGAGGGTTGATTTTCTACACTCATGTACACTCATGAGATACATTTTCTGTTTTCATTATCGGGACTGATCTTAGAGAGGAGCTTTTGTTAAAAAGCCTCATTCTTGAAGGTTGTTCACTATTCTTGGCAAAATTTGACATTTCACCCCAATTTTGGCCCCCATATCCCAAGAGGTTCTTGGGTTTTCTTCTGCAGAAGTGCAACTTGGATAAAGCATTTGAGTAGTTAGGCATCCAAGGTGGCCTGATAGAAAACACCCACAGGTTCCTGGTGTTCTACCAATTTGAGCTAATGTAATTAGTTGAAGCCTAAAGTTTTGAAAGAGGTATTTGTGGGTTTCTTTACATTTATTTATTATAGACCAGTGTCAATAACATTAAGATAAATATTATCCCATCTAGCTTTATGTCTGAATACAGTGATTAAAGGATAATTTTCAGGATGTTGCACTATATTCTTGAATATCAGTTCTTAAATATCAATAGAGATCGTCATAAAATCATTACAGTGATGATGCACAAGGCAAAGTGGAGTTGAGGTTTATAAAGTCTCTCACTGAATTTTTCTGGGTTAGTGTATAAATATATTCTTCAACATTTTTATTTAAAATTAACCCAAAGAGCAAGAGAAAAAAAGGAGAAATTTAGATAATTGCCAAGATAATTTATGATTGTCTTCATTCCTCCTGGCTCTAATTATTTATGTCAATGTGTCATGAATTACACAGAGTAACTTTCAGTAGTGTTAGTGCTCATGGGACAAGCATTCCACTCTCCTCTAATTTTTTGTATAATTATTATTTCTTGTTGAATTTTTGAAAAATAACACCACTGGGTTTCATTATTTGTGTATCTTTTTGGAGTCAGACTTCAGTGTACTAGTCATTGTGAAAATTCAATAAATGCTTTTTGATTGAGTATCTCAAAAAAGAAAACATTCTAGGTATTGTACTTGGGTTTGAATGGGATTAAGCTCCTAGCTGACACTTATTTGCTAGGACATTTCCCCCATGTCACATAATCTCTCTGGGATCCAGATTTTTCTATTGTAGAGTCAAGAGAAAGATTCAAAAATTTATCTTGGATGTCTGATATTCGAATTATTTGCTTTACTCAGTTTTGCTTTTTAACAACCAAATAAATATTTGATCATTGTATGAATTTTTTTAGTAGAAAATTCCACAATTTGTTATGGAAAATTCTGCCTTTGTACAATCCATAATTCATATTGAATAAAAAAACAAATCATTTTCCTATGAGCATTTTAAAAATTATAAGATCCTATTTTATTTTCTAAACTAGCTTTAATTTTTAACCATATATTTGGGGAGAGACAAGAAATGATAATATGTAGCCACTATTGTTTTTTGCTTGACAGCTACAATATATTCCACTTCTTTTCCTGTTGCTATTAGTTTGCTTGATGCCATTTGCTTGATGCTAGTACATTATTTCTTCTAGCCAACTTAACCTTGATGCTAACCTCGGGAGGCTGAGGCAGGAGAATGGCGTGAACCCGGGAGGCGGAGCTTGCAGTGAGCAGAGATTGCGCCACTGCACTCCAGCCTGGGGGACAGAGAGAGACTCCGTCTCAAAAAGAAAACAACAACAAAATAATATAATAATAATAACAAAACATTTAAACGTCTCACTTTTGTTTATGAACCAACATAAACATATTATTTGTCTTCGTAAATCTTTCTCCCTGCAGAAAATCTAACATCTGAAAAGATTAAGGAACCCTAGAAACTATAGTAGAATAACATATTGTCCACTTTAAAATAGTACCTTGGAGTTAAACCATAATTTTAGCCATAGAAAGTGGTGGGGAGTTCTAACTGTGAATAACGCTTGAAGATCTAAACCCTACTTTCTTTCTTTTTTTTTTTTTGGAGACAGAGTCTCTCTCTGTCTCCCAGGCTGGAGTGCAATGGCGCAATCTCGGCTCACTGAAACCTCTGCCTCCTGGATCTAACCGTACTTTCTAAGATCACTGGCATTATCTTCATAAGAAAAAAATATATTCTTATGACACTTAAAATTATGCATTTGATATTCTCCCATAAAACCTAAGTTGTTTAATGCTTAGAATAAAGATAGTGAGGAATTAGTTTCACTTTAAATAACTGTTGCATGCAGTACTGACCTGTTAATCTGGTCACTGAAAGCCACAAGTCTGAGCTATTAACAATTAACTAAGGTAAGCTATAATTTGACGTGTGATAAGAATGACCTTGTTTAATAATACAGTTCACAGGTGAGCAGTAAAGTTGAAGTCCCTCAAGGCTTAGAATAAGTTCTAAATAATCCCTAATACATATTTGCACACACAAAATTACGATATTCACCAAAGTTATAATATTGACAATAAAATGTATTATTCCCTAACAGCATCAGTCATAAGGAAGTTTATTTTGCATGCTTGGATTCCATAAAATAATATCACCCAATTTACTTCCTTATATGGACTAAAACAAGCCTTTGTGATTTCAGGAACATGAATAAATAAATTATATCTGAAATATTTTACATCTCAACAGTTAGTTGTTTTGGGGGTTCCCCAGTAAGTATTCAATTAAGCGTTTCAAACCATCCCAAACATCTGTTTTTACTACCATTGAAGTACAGTGGGAAAATCATAAAAATTGCAGCATTTGTTCAGTGGGCAAAACTAAATTGTGGACTCTAATGCTTTCTTCTCTTTTCTTATTGATCTGACTTGAACAATCATTCAGATTTTAATCAAGCAGATATTCTGGCATGTAGTGAAGATTTTTCACTGCAGAAAATAAAAATGAAAAAAAAAAGTATTTGCAGCTCGAGAAACAAAACGTGAGCAGTTAGTCTTCCACTGGGCAATGAGCAAGTAGGCAAGGGCCCTAACTCAAGATGACTTATCTAAGCACCAGGAGCTCTATGTACTATGCGTATTAAGGATTTATGGGGTTCAAGAGAAGACAGTTAACTGAAGACTATTCCTACTTCCCAAAGAAGTATTGAAAACGTTGGCTTAAAAAAACTTTCTGTATTGCAAGATTTTTCAAAGTACTTAATATGCTTCGGGAGCTTTGTTTATCTCCAAATGGAGAATCAAGCAGAATCCTAAAATTACTTTCAATGGAACTATTTTTTGGTCAAGTTACTATTAATATCTTGTGGAACACTACCAGCCTGCAAACACAGTCTGGAGAATGATGAGCTGTATCTTTATGTTTGAGAGTAATCAATACTTATGTGGTAATTAAATCCTTGAGACTATAAGAGATTGCTCATGGACAAATGACCAACAAGAACAGAACCTTGCAAAAGAACACCGCAATTTGAATAGGATTAAATTCCTAGCTGACACTTATTGGCTAGGATATTTACCCCATGTCGCATGATGACTCCTGCATGGTAGGAGTGGTTATGAGCACTTAGTTACAGGACAGGCAGGGTATTGTATTATGAGTTTATTATACATGCCCTAGACTCATAGAATTTTTAAATTAGAAGAATAGAGATCACATAATTCAACTATCTCATTTCATAGCTGGGGCAATTAAGGACTGAGGAATTAGATGATTTATTTAAATGTACACAGCTTGTTTCACGGTTGCTCGTCAAACTCAAAAGAGCGAATACGTTACCCTAAAGAAACTCATTCTGAACAAAAGCAAAAATGCCTTCTGGTCACAAGACACTAATGATAAAAATAATTTCTTAATACAGATGTTGAAGGAATCCACTGGGGCCCATTCCTTCCTTCATGTAATTTCTCATGATGAGGAAGGAATTTTTTGAGTTGACAAAGTAAACTAAACCTTCCTTGGAAACAACCACACAAGAGTGCTCATTACTGTAATAGACAGAGGAAGGAAAAAAAAAATCTCTGTGGTTTCTAAGTCTTATGCACCCTTTCATTATTTTGCTTGGGAATGTTTTATACAGACAAGCATAGAGTAATTTATTATTTTTTCTTTACTCCTTAACAATCCCGGTAATTTTATAAAGCAGGGATGTTTCTCCTTTCTAATAAATGAGTCTGTGTTTTGACATAAAATGATTTGAAATGGTATAATCCCACTGCCTGCATAATTTCTTATTTATTTATTTTGAGATGAAGTCTTGTTCTTCTCCCCCAGGCTGGAGTGCAGTGGCGCTATCTTGGCTCACTGCAACCTCCACCTCCCAGGTTCAAGCGATTCTCCTGTCTCAGTCTCCCGAGTAGCTGGGATTACAAGTGTTCACCACCACGCTCTGTCTAATTTTTGTATTTTTAGTAGAAATGGGGTTTCACCATGTTAGCCAGACTGGTCTCGAACTCCTGACCTCAAGTGATCCGCCCACCTCAGCCTCCCAAAGTGCTGGGATTACAGGTGTGAGCCGCCAAGCCTCAATTTTATTTTTATTTTAAAAAAATAACAACAGCAAAAAAACAACTGGCAACATAATTACCACACACTTAAAAACAACTGCAATTGTGGTGTAAGGAACTGTTGGAAATCTTGTTTCTGGTTCTCATGCTTAACAGTGTTTGCTCATAAAAAACAGGTCACTGAACCTTCAATTGCTTCACAACTGTACCTTTGGTCTGTTCTTATTTTCTGTCTAATTAAATGTAAACATTATTTCAAATTATAAACCAATGGGACTAGGTGTCATTTTTCCACCCTTCTCTACATCTTCTTTATTTCCTTGAACAGGTGCCATAATAGACACTCAATATAAATGTCTATAAAATGGAATGAACAATAATATATCCCTCATAGTCTTATCTAGAGGCTTAAGTGATATCGTCTATGTGAACATTCTTTGCAAAGAGTGAAGCACTAGTTATTATTATGTGAGTCTGAATTACTACTATTGTTACCATTATTATAAGACACTTTTCTAGATATTGTGATTGATATTAATAAGAATCAGAACGTATACAAAGCAATAGGACAACAATTTTTACCATATATTAATTCTTCAAAACTGCTTGTTGAATCATGTATAAAACCAATATGGTACAAATGCAAATCAGTGGAATATAGGCACAGAAAAAAGAACAGGTCAGAGTCTCACGAAATTAATGTGAGAAGTGAATATGAACCTAATCTGAAACAAAGTGGAAAGCGAGAAACGCAGAATCATAATTTGGTAGAGAAGATAAAATAAGGAAGATAACACTGTAAAACCCAAAATGGCAGGAGTAGTTCTGAGCAGGAAATTGTAATTCTTGTATGAGCAAAGAATTAAGATGTTATAAGGATGGGTATTTGTTTGTTATTAGAATGAAGCTAGAATTTTTTCTGGATGTAAAGAAAAAAGAAGTAAGGCTATCCAGGAACTGAAAATGGCATCGACGAAGAGGCAGTTCTCTTCCATACAACGATCTCCATGAGACAATCTTTGCTTCACTTTAAAGATACCTTCTCTTTAATTCTCTATTTGAATCTCTCCAGAACTCCAGAATGAGACATCTAATTATCCATTTAGCATCCATACATGGATGACCAGTATAAACCTCAAAATTAGTATGTCTGAGAATGAACTCTTGCTTCTCTACACCAAAAACCTTGGCCCCCTGAGTCTTCTTCATCTCAGTAAATGGCACTACCATTCACTTGTTCATTTAGGCTGACATCCTTGGAATCCTTTTTTAAGTCCTTTGTTTTGCTCATACTCCAAATCCAAATAATCACAAATTCTATCAGCTTTCCCATCAAGATAAATTGTGAATCCATAGATTCTTCACTTCGCTGCAATTGTAGTCAAATGCATAGAGTGCAGTATCCTCTTAAATGGTCTCCGTGATCTGTCTCTTATCCCACTACTATCCAGAAATCAAAACACAGACTAAGTGATTCTTTTAAAATGTAAAATATCTAATGTCATTCTCCCACTCAAAGTCCTGCAATCAAATGTAGAATAAAGTCCAAATTTCTTACCTAAAGAACCACATGAACCTGGCCTTGACTTCCTCTCTTACCTTGCTTTCTCTATGACTATTCATCCCTTAGCTCCTCAATATCTCAGTCTACAGAATAGACTAAGAATAGTCCTTAGTCTATTCTATAATTAGGCTGATGTTGACTTGATTCTGCAGAAGATGCAATATCATCCCTCATCTCCTGCTCCGAGCCAAGGGCAATTACAGAGGTTATGTGGCTGAGTTTTAACGATGATGATCTATTAAGCTCACACAACTTCATATTTCTCCATAGTTACACAAGACACTTTATCTAGTTGCTCCTTATATGTGAAGTTATGTACTGTATTCATCTTATAAAAATAGAATGAACGAGCTGCTGATCATGAGTTCCAGGGAAGAGTGTTTGAGTTGGGATCCCTCAGGCTGCTGGCAGCCCCAAACCATGCTTCCCGAGGTTAGTTTTCAGTTAGTAAACACAAAATATAGATTTGAAGAAATTATCTGGATAATTCAAGCAAAAAACATTGCTTTGACTTGAATTGCCTGATTAATTGCAAGTTAATCATCTCTTCACTATTGAATTCCTTCCTAGCAAGTCAATTGTCCACGCAATAGAGACAGAGCATGGTGGTGACTTAAATTACTCAAATAACTGCATGCTTGCTCGACCCCACCTTGTCAACAAGACCTGGCTGTGATGTAAAGAACTTCAGTGGAGAAATGACAGGAATTGATAGTTAAGGCCAGCACTATCAATAGGAGGTGAAACAGACACAGGGAAAAAAATCAGAAAGAGACTTTGTTAGGAAGCACAAACTGCTCCAGCCAGCAGGCCTGCCTGACTGCAGTGTCACTTGATGAATAAGCAAATGGGGCTAAGGGGATGAGAGTACTTTACTGATGAGAAATTCTCACAAATAGGAGATATTTAGGGACTAAAATGCGCCTCCCAGGCTGGTCATGGTGGCTCACTCCTGTAATCCCAGCCCTTTAGGAGGCTGAGGCAGGTGGGTCACTTGAGGTCAGGAGTTTGAGACCTGCCTGGCCAACATGGTGAAACCCTGCCTCTACTAAAAAAGTACAAAAAATAGCTCAGCGTGTTGGTGGGCTCTTGTAATCCCAGGTACTTGGGAGTCTGAGACAGGGGAATCACTGGAACCTGAGAGGCAGAGGTTGCACTGAGCTGAGATCATGCCACTGCACTCCATCCTGGGTGACAGCGAGACTCTCTCTCAAGAAAAAAAAACAAAAAACAAACAAACAAAAAAACACCTTTGCGATAGGTTTAGTTGTTCGTTAAATAACACAATACAAAATAGTTAGGAATTTTAAGTTCAAAGTAGTATTTAAGGCATCCTAGTACCTTATGCACTAAATAACTTAAAATGTACATTTAGTAAAATCACGCCCAACAAACTAAGAACAGTAAGAAATACTCTCAATGAATATTTTATTTTTATATGCTTATTTTCTTTAATTGTGAGTCCATCCATTAACCTTTCTCTATTGCTAGTAATGCGATGGAGGGAGAAGTCACCTTTTAAATATAAATAGTCCATGCTGTGCTAAATCAACAACAACTACATTTTCAGAAATGAGGGCATTCATGAAATCCTGACTCTATCTGTATTGCTTTAAATCAAGCTGACAGTAGAATAGTTTCTGCTGAAAGGCTGTCCTATGCGATATTGGACATTTATGTTATGAAGGTTATGACCAAATTATAGGTTAATATCTATTCATTTATCATATTAATTCAACAAACTTTTATTACACACCTACAATAAGAGGTACTGTGCTTTCACGTCTTATCTCATATATTTATTTGCTCCACAATGCAAGCTGTATATCGTCACTGCATCTTCCCATGAACTACTCTACTTTCCATTCCCAGAGCTATGCCTTCTCTATTAAAATAAAATGGAAATCAAAGCAAGATAATGATGTAGAGAGAACTGGTATTTGGATATTAGTCCAGGCTCTGCCAATAGCTGTGTTTTCTTGTCTATACAATTAGCATGTTGATATATAATGTTAAAATTTCCAAGTAAAATTTCTGACTCTCTCTATCATTACTAAATTAATATTACACTGGGTGTTCTGGTGGTGGTAGTAATTATTATTTATGGTCTTATCCGAGTCTTTTTCCTAACATTTGATGAGTCAAATAAATCTACCTGACCACACTGGCAACAGATCTGCTTTTATGAAAGAAAATATGAAATATGTGGTGAACAGTGTGGTTTGGCATTATTTGGGTTTTTTGTTTTGATTTGTAAGGATCATGTCTGCTTCTAGTGTGTAGATAGATCATAAATTGTAGCATACCTGGAAATATGACAAATTACTTATATCGTCACGTAATGTAGATTTATTTCTTCCTTTTGAACTGATAAGTCTAAATAAGCAATGTTCCTTAACTTTTATTTTAAAATGCATACATTTGTATTTGTGGGCTTGGTCTTCTAATTTAGTATTTCCAGTTAATGCACATGATGTCAGATATTAATATTATGTGAATGCATTACCCAAGGTCATGCCAAAGGCTGTTAAAGTTAAGCAGAGGAACCTTATCAGAGTAAATCAGCAAGGCATGGCACAGCTTTGAGTTTACGTAAGAGGAGGCAGAAAGGTACAAATAATTGATATGCCAATTCAGGTAAGGGATCAGCTCTAGAAACCACCCTGCTCTATATAAATAACATGTATTTGTTCAGATGTTTGTCTTGATAATTGTCCTCCCTTTTTTTTAATTTTTTGTTCAAGAGATGCAAAAGCTTCAGGAGGATGGATCCCAGGAAAGAAATCAATGGGCTCTGTGAACTATTTTGTGGCTCAGTTACCAATACCACAAGAGCAATTACATTAAATTAGATGCCACTGAACTGGCAGCTTTTATTGACCCTCTTAAAGTCTTTCTCTCTCTCTTTCTCTCTTTCTCTCTCTCTCTCTTTCTCTCTCTCTCTCTCTCCCCCTCTCGCCTCTCACCCCTCCCTCACTTTTCTTGTGCAGTCACACTCTGCAATTGGCACTGAAAGTGGCTCCTAGCAGTTTTGTTACACTGAAGGATGTGTCAACATTTTATTGTGTGATGATTCTAAAGTGTTTATTATGAAGGCGCTCCGGTTTGCATTGGGTTCAATTTGGCGCCAGCTAGATACACATTTGTTCTTAGATTTTTTTTTAACTGCTATGCATGTTGGAGGGGAAGTTGGATGACATTGTATTTATTTTAAGTTGTCTTTTTGTTTTTCTAAGAGTGACAAAAGGAAGGGTGTTTTGAGAATAATCTTTTTTTAGATACTGATTTCTGCAAGCAAAAAACTTTTTCACATCTTAAAATAATTCCCTTTGTGAAAAAGATTATTTAAATTTGAGATACAGCTGTTATACACATTTATTGACTTCTCTTAGCATAGCAATTATTTACTCTACAGGACATCCCTATGCCACATGTTATAAAAAGCCCAGTGCTTCTCCAAAGCCCTTTGATAACTTAATAAGTTCTTGTAACCATTAATAAAAATTACTCTTGCTTCTCCTAATTTTTTCATTGAAAAATGTCATGTGACAATCTGACAAAAGTAAACTTGAAGCTGAATTTTACGTCGTAAATCTAAAGCAGATGGTACATTTGTTTTTTGTTGTTGATATTTTTAAAATAGCCTTTCTTAGTCCTTGTTTTTCATCTTCAGATATTTATTGAATACTTGCTGCATTTGACACACTGACCCTGGGACTCTGAAGTTCACAAAGTATAGTTAGGTAGTCCCAAAACTCAATGAATGTATAATCTATTATGAAAAAGCGATTATGTTTGTATTTTCTGACACCTCAAATAATGTACAATCTGAGTATAGAGAAGGAAAAGATAACTTCTAAACTGGGGTTGTGAAGAGCACTGCTCCAGGCTATATTTGAGCTGGAAGATGTTTAGGACTTCCGCATGTGACATTAGGATTTGAAATCCTGGAAAAAGAGCATGAGCAAAGCGAGGGAAACAACAGGACACAATAACTCACTGGGAGGCCACCTATTTTGACAAAGCCATAGGAAAGTGATTTAATAGAAGGCTGAAAGGTGAACCAAGATTTAATTGTAGAAGGTATTTACTGTCAATCTAAAGAAGCTATTTGTTATTCAGAAGATAATGGAATCACTGCTGAGATATTAGTTAAAATATATATATATATATATATATATATATATATATATATATATATATATATAGCCACTAACAAATTTCTGTTTGGGAAAGATAAATCTGATGGTTGAGAATGGGAAAAATCAAAATGTAAAAAATAATAAAGTCAATAATATATTACTATGACTATTATTAGTACTATGATAGTTAGAGACATTCATTGTCACATTTCCTCCTTTTGGCCCTAAAATAGCTGTGAGGGATACGTCCATCTTTGCTCTTCTTCTTCTTCAATAGATCAGAAAACAGCCAGCTACTCTAGTCTCTCTGACGGGATCCTAACCTACTTCCAATTCTGTAGCCCTATGAGATTGGCAAACTCTTTTGATGATATCTTGGGTAGTTACTTTCCAGCCAAGGTTTTTATGTGCCTTACCAGACTCCAGGGCACTGCTATGCAAGGGTAAATCTCATCAGATATCTCAAGTCATGTTGGAGTCTTTTCCCAATTTCTTTCTCTTAGCACATTATCTCATCCCAATTTTCTAGGAAAATGAATCCTTCTAATTTTTTCCATATTCTATTCTGATGGAACCCTTGGAAATTCTGTATTAGCACTAGGCAATGTGTCTCCTTGCATTTCTGAAACTCACACTATTTCATCAGGCTTTCCCATCCTTCAGCTAATGCAGTTGGCCAACTCTTTCCATGGGCTGACGAAGAGAGAAACACATTTTTAAGATAGTATAACTAACGAAACAGAGAGTAGAAGATACATTAATAAATCAAAAACAGTTCCAATTTTCTGAACCTAAGGACTGAAAGGTTCAATATTGAGAATCCCTTCCTTCTTGAAGCACTCACTTCTCTTGACCTACAAGACATAGAAATATTTTGGAAGACACAAATCCTCTTTCTCTCTCTGGCCAATCTCTCTCTACATTTCTGGTTTATTTTCCTCTTTTCATCCTTGAGGTGTTCCATATAATTATTAGTGGAAGTCAGCAGCAGAGTCAGGCTTTAGAAGAAAATGAACTCAAGCTTAGACATTAAGAATTTTGTTCACAAGTAAAATAAGAGATATGATAATTGTAGCATCAGTAGTGGATGAACTCCAAGGAAGGAAGGAGTAAAAGAACCAGAAAATAGGGAGAGGATGGTCAGGGAGACAGACTGAGAACTTAGTAAGATATTTCTATCTTGTAAGTGAAGGGAGGTAAAATGTTCCAAGAAGGACATTCTCAGTGATCAATAAGGTCAGATTTTCCCTATAGATATAAAAGCTTATAATCCAACAAATTAGGAAAAAAGAAAGAGTAAAGTTTGAGAAGGCAGCAAGGTAAAGTGGATTTAGTATTGGATTAAACCAATGGTTGCATGAGAAGAAGATAGTGAGTCTTAAAATAGGAAAGGAGCTATGCTAAATATTCTTTACAGATAGAAAGTCCAATTTAAACTAACTTAGAGAAAAAATATATTCGGTTATGTAAGTGATCATTCAGGAAATCAGTAAGTGTCATCAGGTTCTGGTCTCTCTCCGCCTTTCAGTTTTGTTCTTGTCCATATGTCGATTTTATTTTCAAACACAATGTGATTTCAGCATGGCTGCTAGTGGCTCCAAGCCCACATCTTCTCATGTCCAGAGCTAGTGAAAAGGAATGTCTTCTTTTCCCCAGTGCTTATGAAAGTACACAGCCCCGATTCTCATTGGCCTGAGTTGGGTCAAGGTACATCACAAAAAACTTTAATTATAGCTGGTGGTTTTCTGATTGATCAGACTCAAGGCTTCTACTCACAGCTGAAGTCACCTCTATCTAAAGTGTCAGGATTGAAAAGGGGAACAAATGGTTCCCCTGTAAAAGACTGGGTAAGTTACCAAGAAAAGGGTAAATAGATATCAGGTTGGTAAAACAAAAACAAACTTAGGTCTGCCTCTGAGAAGGAACAGGAACAACCCATGATATGTAATAGAGAGAAATAAAGAGGTCGTTTGGTGGCATCTGAGAGAGCTGTTGAGAACTGTTAGACATGAATGGCAAATTGTGAAGGAGTAATAAATGTGCGTGCACATTAGAAATAGGGGCAGCAAGAATGAATTAGTTTGGATATATTTGAGGAGAAACACACACACACACACACACACACACACACACACACACATATATAGTTTCACATATAAAGTTTTTTTAAAATCCTGGTAATACAGGGCTGCATCAGAGTGAATTGTCCAAGTCACAGGATTCTTAGAATTTGGAGGGTAAATGGTAAGAGAAAGGATAACCTGGCATTCACTCAAAAATTTAAGAATGCATTCAGTATTTGCGTACTTACTATGGACTAGGCACTATTCAAGGTACTGGAATAGAACGGTGAGTATGATGAGAAGAGTCCCAGGAAAACAGAAAATGAACAAATAAAAAGTTAACATATTGTATACACGGAAGTGATGTATACAGAGAGGAAGAATAACACAGGGTAAGAAAATAGAAGCTTACATGAGACAGAAGACATTTTGGGATGTGGCCAATGAAGGAAATCCTAAGGAGATAACCTTTGGGCATAAATATAAATTAAGTTAGGGATCAGCCTAATGAATATCTGGGGGAAGAGCACATGTAAAGGCCCCAAGTCTTGGGTGTTATAGAAGAGCAAGAATGACAACCAAGTTAGAGGGGAGTGGGCAATTTTCAAAGAACAACAGTGGAAGGGGCTGCAGATAGAGGCAGAGGGTTTTGGGCTTTAGGCTTTGGTAAAAAGATTGTGTTTTATCCTGAGTGTGTCAGGAAGCTCTGGAGAGGAACCTTGAATGGCACACTTTTCTGGATACTGTGTGAATTGCAAGGAAATACCAGTGAAAGCTAGAATACTTGAGTATTACAAGAAAAAAGATCACGGTAGCTTGACCTACAGTGCAATGAAAAGATGAGAAATAGTCAATTCAGAATGCATTCTGAAGATAGAGATGAAAGTCTTGACAATGAGTAAGTTCTGGAGATGAAAAAAAGATTGAAACAAAAGAGGATTCCGTTTTCATGCCTATGCCACTGGGCAATGGTGAAGCCATTCTCCGGGATAGGGAAAACTGTGAGAAATACTAGGAAGAATGGCAATCTGGGGACAAGTAAGAGTTCAATTTTGGAGAATGTTAAGTTTTAAGTCCTGTTATACAACTGGATAAACAGACCCAGGGGGCATTTAGAGTTGAAATGGGAATTGGAATGTGGACTTCAGAGAGAGGGAGGAGATATGATGAGCTGGGAGAAAGGGATAAGAGGTATATGACCACAACCTTTTCAACGCTTTGTCCTGGTGATAAGTTGTCATATTAGATTAGCCCTAATTGGGGTAGCTGGGATGGGATAATCACAGATTTGAGTTATGTATGGTAAAAATGAGAGGCATTGGCGGGGTGTGGTGGCTCATGCCTGTAATCCCCACACTTTGGGAGGCTGAGGCGGGCGGATCACCTGAGGTCAGGAGTTCAAGACCAGCCTGACCAACATGGTGAAACCGCATCTCTGCTAAAGATAAAATATTAGCTGGGCATGGTGGTGGATGCCTGTAGTCCCAGCTACTCGGGACGCTGAGGCAGGAGAATGGCGTGAACCTGGGAGGCGGAGCTTGTGATGAGCCGAGATCCTGCCACTGCACTCCAGCCCGGGGCGACAGAGTGAGACTCTGTCTCAAAAAAAAAAAAAAAAAAAAAAAAAAAAAAAAAAAAAAAAAAGAAATGATGCTAAAGTCAAACACACTCACACATCTGAGCAAATAGCAATGGCTCATAGAATAAGTAAATAAGTGCAAAAATATTTATTGCCAAATTTCAGAAGGCTTACAGGTCTGAAGCTACAGAGAAAAGGAGGCTCAGGATAACCCATAGGAAAACTAATTACCTAGAAGTGAAGGAAAAGTCATTTGGCATATTCTACTTTAAAGGGACTGGCTTCTGTCTGTATGGATCAAAGGTGTCAGCTGTAGAATTTTAGAATATGAAAGATTTAATCACAACCTCTTACAGTCAAGATATAATATTTTATTTTTTCATGTGCTTGTTTGGGAGGCAAAAGGAAAGGTTACTAAATGGATCCTTCATTGGCAAAGGTCAAAAGTAGAATTTGATACCTTCTAAGTCTTATTTACAACTAAACTCTAAAGCCGTTTCAGGATTATACATTATCTAGGGAAGCAATGTGGTCTACAATAGTTCTCACATTTTAGTGAACATTAAATACCCTGGGAACATGGTGAAGATGCTGTTTCCCTAGGCTTCACTCCCATATATTTTGATTCCATAGATCAGGTTCAGGGCCAAAAATCTATATTTTTAACAAATATTCCAAGCATTTCTGATGCGGGGGTTGGGAGGAGGTCCCTGAACCAAGCCTTAAGAATTTTGATCTGGGGATAATTATGACAGATCTTTAGAATAATCACTGGCCTAGGTGTCAAAAGTCACCACATTTCCGAAGCTGTTTATTCTTATTAAGAAATATTAATGCCATCCTTCCCCATTTCAGTTACTGTCAGGTTAAAATGACACAATGCACTATGATTATAATATTCATAGATTGTTACTTATCAAGTCACAAGAGTGAAAGCTTGCTGGTTGCATGGGAAAGTGCTTAGAATATTAAAGTACCATCTAACTGTAATTGTTAACAGGTAGGAATTAGACAGTAAAATTAAATGTCTGTAAGGAAAAAAAATTCTGTTTTGATATAAATTTGGTTTCCTTTCTCAAGCCTGCTGTCCTCAAGGGCCAAGGGTTAACAAAATTATGACATTTCCAGGTATTCTTTTCAATTTTAGTTTAAAACTTGGCTTCCTTTGGGTAAAGATTCAGCTAAATACAAGTATTACTCTTTCCGTCACTATCCACCGTGCCTTACTTCCTCCCTGCCTCAAGGTCTTCACCTCCTGTTCTCACTTCTCCTTCCTCAGGCCTCTTATGTCCTTTTCCACCATGGCTGCAGGTGGAAAAGCAGCTGTGGGTTTACGTGCTTGTCCTCCTTAAGGGAGAGATGCTGTGTATCTGGTTGGTGCAATCCTTCTGTTTTCTGTTGTTACTGTCTTTGACCCGTCATAGAGGCAGGCAGGGTCCAGGTGGCTCATTCAGCCCAAGCAGCACCCAACACTGGCCGCAGGATATAAAGCTTGCTATGTCTGTGGGTCCCCAGCTGTACCCTAGGGCAGGGAAGTATGGCCACATCCCTCAAAATTTATTCCAGAGGGGCTTCCATCCAGAGTCTTGGCTGATAGAGCCCGCTTACTGCAATAGGTAGCCCTGTGTGGTGCCTGGGAAGGTGGCTCACCCATTCAGATTTTTTCATAGGCCATTTTAGGCCCTTTGGAAACCTTGGATCTCTACCACTCCAACCCAGCTCTAAGGGAAATTGAGGGATATCCTTGCCCTTCCCACCAAGTTATGTCCCTTTTCAAGTTCTGTGCTATCTACACTGCAAAATTGCCTAAAGTTACTTGCAGTGCTGCCAAGCAATCATCACCAAACTCTAGTCTCCTGTATTCATAATAATGTCTCTAATGTCCAGACAATGCTCTTAGAGGCTCTATCTTTAAGGGAAGACATTTTGAGTACACCCCCACAGTAGGGATGAAGAAGCTTACATTCTTCAATTTTCTTCTCTACTACTTCTCTCTTTCCTTAGCTAGATTTCCCCTTTTTATCTCTGCTGTAATAAAAAGAAAATAAATAATTTTGCCTCATTCACATTTGGTTTGAATTATGGGCTTCTGACATCATTATATGGTCTTCTTTGAATTTAGTATTTTTGGAATTCAGTATGTTTAATCTCAGCAGTGTCCTATATCTTAGGAATCTACGCATTTTCAGTTCAGTCACTAGGTGGGATAGAGTGCATGCTTATTACCATTACTTGTAATTTCATTTTCTCCAACAGTACACCCTACATTTCACACACTCACAATCTTGGCATTTCATCACTGCTGTTGTTCAGATACATCATTCTGCTAGACTTTCCCAATCCAATCCCTGACTTCTACTTTCCTGAAAGAACTTGATAATAATTTCTTCAAGGAATCTTCTCAGAACCCTCATTCTGTTTCTAGGGGCTCCCACAGTGAACTCTCATGAGTACTTTGTCCATATGTCTACTATTGTAATTAGCACATTATATTATAATTTCCTGTCCCAAGTCACACCACTAAATTATAAACACTTTAAGGATATAAACAGTATGATTGAGTTGGTTTTTAATCATGATTTTTGCATCTACAGGGACTGAAACCTGATAGACACTTTTAAAATGTTATTTTGAAATAACTAATTTACCAATACATTAATTCCATTAATACTAAGCAAGGAAATATAATGGCAAATAACATTTATCATGTAGTATATGTAAACTACTTAGATAAAAACAGTCACCAACTAGGTGCCAAGCAATGACGGGTTTTAGATCCTGGGGATATAAAGATGACCAAGACACAGACCTCGACAACAATGAGTGGCCTTCCTGTCTAGTAGCAAATAAACAAATAATTACAATGAATGTGGACTTAAAGATGAAGGAGAGTTTGAAAGGCAATGAGAGTTACAGCACGTACCAACATAGAGAGATGATAAAATGTCCAGCATGCCTGAGGACCATTAGAGGACTTGGTGTGACTAGAACGTGTTTTATGTTGGCTATCGTAAGAGATAAGGCAGGAAAGAGTCTTCACGTGACACAGAAAGCTAATAAGAAGAACATTGATAGTTCATTTGTGAGTGCCTATTATGTAGGCTGGAAGCATATGCAATGCATGCAGTACCTATTTAATCTTCATAACAAATTAAATATTGTTAAGAGTTCACATAGATGAAAAGCTTTATTGAAAACTTCCAGCTTGGGGTTCAGCACATAAGAAGCTTGGAAGCTATCACTCTCTGCTAACAACAATTGAATCTCACAATGTGCAAAAAGAATTATATTCCACCAGTAAGAGAGATTTATTTCACTTATGCAAGGATATACAATTAGTGTAATCTGTCACTTCAACAGGCTAAAGAAGAAAAATCACATGATTATATCAACAGATGCAGAAAAAGCATCTGACAAAATTTAACACTGATTAATGCTAAAAACTCTCAGCATACTAAAAATAGAGGGGAATTTTCTCAACTCAATAAAGACATCTACAAAACCTACAACTAACATCATACTTAATGGTGAGAAATTCAAAGCCTTCTCGCTAAGATTAGGAACACGGCAAGGATACACCCTCTTGCCACTGCTTTTCAGCATCATACTGGGAGCTGTAGCACATGCAACAAGATAAGAAAAGGAAATAAAAAGGTATATGAATCAGGAAGAAAGAAAGAGAGTGTCTTTGTTCACAGATAACAAGATCATCCATGTAGAAAATCTGAAAAGAGTGGACCAAAAACCTCCTGGTACCAATAAGCACTTGCAGCAAGGTTGCAGGGTACAAGGTTAATATACAAAATTCAATCATTCCCCTATATCCCAGTGATGAACAAATGGGATTTGAAGTTAAAAACACAACACAATTTACATTAACACCTCCAAAAAATGAAATACTTAGGTATAAATCTGACAAAATAAATACAAAATCTATATGATAAAAACTATAAAATTGTGATGAAAGATATCAAAGAACTAAATAAATAGATACATATTCCATGATCATTGATAAGGACCTGATATTGTCAAGATGTCAGTTCTTTCAAACTTGATGTATACATTCAGCACAATCCCAATCAGCATCCCAGCAAGTTATCTTGTGGATATCAACAAACTGATGCTAAAGTTTATATAAAGAGGCAAAAGACCCAACATAGCCAACTCAATATTGAAGGGAAACAAAGTTGAAGAACTGACATTACTTGACTTCAAGACTTGCTGATAGCTACAGTAATCAAGGTAGTGTGTTACTGGCAAAAGAACAGACAAAGAGATCAAAAGAATAGAATAAAGAACCCAGAAATAAGCCCACATAAATACATTCAATGGATATTTGACAAAAGACTAAAAGCAATACAATGGAACAAAGATAATCTTTTCAACAAATGGTGCTCAAACAACTGGACACTTAAATGCAAAAAAAAAAAAAAAAAAGAAAGAAAAAAAAGAATCTGGACACAGATCTTACACCCTTTACAAACATTACCTCCAAATGAATCACAAACCAAATTACAAAATGCAAAATTATAAAACTTCTAAAAGATAACATAGGAGAAAACCTAAGTGACCTTGAGTATGGGATGGCATTTTAGATACAACACTGAAGGTACAATCTAGAAAAAAAATAAAGAATTGATAAGCTGAACTTTATTAAAATTAAAATTTTCTGCACTGTGAACGACACTGTCAAGAGAAAAAGAAGACAAAACCGACTGAAAAGAAAATATTTGCAAAAGACAGTGATATGGTTTGGCTCTGTGTCCCCACCCAAATCTCATCTTGAATTGTACTCCCGTAATTCCCACGTGTTGTGTGAGGGACCCAGTGGGAGACTATTTAAATCATGGGGGCAGTTCTGCCCATACTGTTCTTGTGGTAGTGAATAAGTCTCACAAGACCTGACAGTTTTATCAGGCGTTTCAGCTTTTGCATCTTCCTCGTTTTCTCTTGCTGCCGCCATGTAAGAAGTACCCTTTGCCTCCCCACATGATTCTGAGGCCCTCCCCAGCCATGTGGAACCGTAAGTCCAATTAAACCTCTTTTTCTTCCCAGTCTCGGATATGTCTTTATCATCAATGTAAAAAAGGGACTAATACAGACACATCAGATAAAGAACTGTTATCCAAAATATACAAGGAACTCTTAAAATTCAACAATATAAAAAACAACAATCCAATTTAAAAATGGGCAGAAGACCTAAACAGACATCTCATCAAAGGAGATCTACTGAAGGAAAGTAAGCATATGGAAATATACTTAATAGTATATGTCATTAGAGAATTGACAAGCAAAACGATCATAAGATCCTACTACATACCTATTAGAATGCCAACATCCAAAACACAGACAACACTAAATGCTGGTGAGGATGCGGGGCAACAGGAGCTCTCATCCATTTCTGGTGAGAATGCAAATAGTTACAGCTATGTTGACAGACAGTTTGGCAGTATCTTAGAAAGCTAAACGGACTTTTTCTATGCAATCCAGCAATCACACTCCTTGGTATTTACCTAAACGAGCTGAAAACTTATATCCACATAACATCCCAGTACAGGGTGTATGCAGCAGCTTTATTGCCAAAATTTGGAAGTGACCATGAAGCCCTTCAGTAGGTGAGCTGAAAAATAAACAACCACACAATAGAATATTTTTCAATGCTGAAAAGAAACACTATATCAAGCCAGGAAAAAAACATGAAGGAAACTTAAATGCATATTACTAAGTGAAAGAAGCCAATCTGAAAAAGCTATATATTGCAGGATTCCAACATTCTATATGATATTCTGGAAAAGGCAAAACTATGAAAACAGTAAAAAAGATTAGTGTTTGTCTGAGGTTTGTGTGGAGGGAGAAATGAATAGGTGGAGTACAGAAGATGTTTTGGGCAAACTATTCTGCATGATATTACGATTGTAGATATCTGTCATTGTACATTGGTCAAAACCCAAAGGATGTACAACATGAAGAGTGAACCTTAGTGTAAATTATGGACTTTGAGTCATAATGATGTGCAAATATAAGTTCATTGATTGTGACAGATTTACCACTTTTGTGTGAGAAGTCTATAGTGCGGGAGGTTGTGTTTGTGCGAGGACAGGGGATATATGAGATATCTCTGTATTTTTTATTTAATTTTGCTGTGAACCTAAAACTTTTCCAAAAATAAGGTTTATTATTTCTCTAATAAAGCTTTATTCAAATTTAAGTGCACTCTCTAAAAGACAAAGTTTGATTATTATTGAATGCATTTAATTATTAAATTATTATCTTCCCCATATTGCACAACCATGACTACTGAAACCATAAGGCCTACAAATATAGCCCATTCTGGAACTCAAGCAATTAAGGACTAATCCTGTGAATACACTTAAGCACATCTCATCTTCAAATGATGTCTAGTTACAGTGACCCTGTGCCAAGTCTGGTATGTAGGCACAAACAACTCAATGTTTAATCAACTAAAGCCTTGCCTTCTTCACTCAATGCCAGTTCTCAGCTCACAAAGTGTACTTCTCTGCTGATTCCCCATTTTCATCATAGATACCAACTGGGACTAGCACTTTGAAGTGGTGGGTATTAGTCCGTTTTCACGCTGCTGATAAAGACATAACGAAGACTGGGCAATTTACAAAGGAAAGATTAATGGAGAACTCACAGTTGCAGATGGCTGGGGAAGCTTCACAGTCATAGTGGATGGCAAGGAGGAGCAAATACATTCTACATGGAAGGCAGCAGGCAAAGAGAGAGTTGTGCAGAAAAACTCCCGTTTTTAAAATCGTCAGATCTCATGAGACTTACTCACTGTCATGAGAACAGAATGGGAAAGACCTGCCCCAGTGATTCAGTTACCTCCCACTGGGTCCCTTCCACAACACATGGGAATTCAAGATGAGATTTAGGTGGGGACACAGCCAAACCATATCATGGTGCATTGCCATTTCCCACTCTTGGCATTGTCTGCTACATCTGTCAACGTACCGGAACTAAGGACTTCACCTGGCCCTTCCTCTTAATTAGGTCACTAGATGGGTTAGCATGGAGCCCCAAGTACTTCTTTAAAATTTTGGCAGTTAAAACTGATATTCATCCTCCTCAAAACACACTTTTAAATTATACCCTCCTCTAACACTAGTCCTGACAACTTCCCCTATAGACTCTTTTTTTTCCAGGCCACATCATCCTATAAGTTTCTTTATGCCTTCTGCTTAAACACATGAAAACTATAAGATTGAATATGTTTGTGTGTGTTTGTCTGTATGTGTGTGTGTGTACACATATATTTCAGTATACTATATTTAATATAGTTAATCACATATTTTAAGAATATATATATACATTCTATATAATTTCTTCTATTCTTCAGTTCCTTTAAACCCCTGTGTGATAGAAAGAATAATGATTCCCAAAAATGCATAGCCTGAATCTAATAATGAAATATGAGACAAACAAATTGAAGGACATTACACAATGCCTGTCTGCACTTTTCAAAAATGTCGAGATTATGAAAGACAAGGTAAGACTGAGGAACTCTTCCTGATTAAATGATCCCAAAGCTAACTGAAAATTTAAACAACACTGTACTTGATCCTGCATTGGATCCTGAAATAAAACTCCTCACTCTTTTCTTTTTCCATAAAGGGCAGTGATGGCAGTAATGGGACAGCTGATAGAATATTACTAAGATATCTACATTAGATGTTGCTATACTATCAGTGTTGATTTTCTGACTGATAATTGCACTGTTGCTCTGTAAGATAATATTCTTTGGGGGAAATACCATGAAGTATTTGGGGTAAAGGGACATAAAGTGTACAACTACCTCCTAATGGTTCAGAAAAAGAAAGAGAAGCCAATATAACAATTTGGGAACCTGGGTCAATAGTTCACAGGAATTCTTTGAACTAGTCTTGCACCTTTCCTGTACATTACAAATAAAGTATTTTTAATACTAATACACACAACAACATGGCTGAATTTTATAATTACTGTATTATGTTAAGTAGAAGAAGCAAAACACTAAATTTCTATTATATTTGGACTGACATAGCTCAATAAGTGAAACTTTGCATTTGGCCATTAGATGAGTGAAGGAAATAGTACAGCCCTACAGTTTGAAAATATAAAATTCTTTTTGGTGTCAAATGAATGAGTCTATTCTTGGTACGTGACACTAAAGAATAATCAAGATAATGATAAGGCCAAATAGATTGAGCAGGTTTTATATTCATCACGTTTCAGACATTATCAATAAATGTTTGTAATTAAAAGAAAGGCAGCCCCTAAAAGGTAACTGAACTCATCACATCTAATTTGAGACCATTTAAGAAGGTAAGAGAGTAAAGTTCAAACTTTGTCAACAAGTTCTTCTTACCTGGATTATTTCACAAGATACAGATAGAGTTTTTTTAAAAAAAACAGGATCAAAATTGATGCTGTTATGCATGTTAATCATTTTAGTGATTTATTTAAGCAATGTAACAGTAGAGAAGGAGGAGAGGGAAGGGAAGAAGAAAGAAAAGAAAGCGGCAATAGAGAGCGGGAAAGAGGCTAAGAGACAGGATGCTAAGTGACAGGATGCTAAGTAGAGACTTTATATCAGATTTGGCTTTCATACTCAAGAAACTTGAAACAGCCTCAGCACCTCAGAGCATGGTTCTGGAAGGCCCTAATGCTGTTGAGCACAGTTGCTCATGGGCATCCAGAAGCTCACCCAATATATAAGGCAGATGCTAGACATTTCCAAGTCTAACCTCCAATCTTAAAGTTGCCCTGAGTTCTGTAATTTCCAGCCACACAATGACAGTAGTTCACCTTCGCTAGAGCAAAATCCTCATAAACTCACACCGTGTTTGTGTAAAGCTCTTGCAGGACTTTACCCACTCCCTGGTTTATCTATTGCTCCTTTAGGACAATGATATGGAAGAATGACAATACAGGCTTTGCAGACAGGCAGACCAACTGACTTAGGTTTGAATTTTATGTCTGACATTTATTAATAAGGCTCTCTATAAACCTCAGTTTCCACACCTACAAAATAAGAATTATGCTAAATACTACACAAAATTCCTTTAAGAACTGAAAAAAAACAAGGAAATGCCTTACACTTGAAAAATAAATAAGCAATTTTAGTTCCCTCTCCTTTGGAACTGAGTCTAGGATAAACACTTCATAGTAGAATGATTTATAATCCTTTGGGTATATACCCAGTAATGGGATTGCTGGGTCAAATGGTAGTTCTGGTTCTAGATCCTTGAGGAATTGCCACACTGTCTTCCACAATGGTTGAACTAATTTACACTCCCACCAGCAGTGTAAAAGCTTTCCTATTTCTCCACGTCCTCTCCAGCATCTATTGTTTCCTGACATTTTAATAATCGCCATTCTAACTGGTGTGAGACGGTATCTCAGATTGGTACAGTAAACCACCATGGCACGTGGATAGCTATGTAACAAACCTGCATGTTCTGCACATCTATCCCAGAACTTAAAGTATAATAATAAAAAAATTCATTCTTCTGAAATCAGATCATTTTTGCTAGTCCTTAATCTATTCCATGATTTCGATCTACTATTCTTTCTACATCTAGAGCCATAAGTTTGAGACAAGTCTGGACAACAAAGCGAAACCCCCATCACTACAAAAAATTAAAAAATAATTAGCCAGGCCTGGTGACATGCACCTGTAGTCCCAGCTACTTTCGAGACTGAGGTGAGAAGAGTTCTTGAGCCCAGGAGTTCAAGACTACAGTGAGCCATGATTGTGCCGCCGCACTTCAGCCTGGGGAACAGAGCAAGACCCTGTCTCTAAATAAATAAATAAATAAAAATGTATTCTCTTACATTTCTGGAGGATACAAATCCAAACAAAAAGTGGTGGCAGGGTTGTGCTCCCTCCAGAGACTCTAGGGCAGAAAATGCTTTGCCTCTCCCAGCTTCTGATGGCTGTCAGCACTCCTGGGCTTGCAAGGACATCACTCATCTCGGCCTCTGTGGTCACATTGTCTTCTCCACATGTGCCTGTGTGTTGTTTTTTTCTGAGTGTCTCTTCTTAGGGCAATTGTCATTGGATTTAAGGCCCACCTGCCTAGTCTTGCACGGTATCTTCATCCCGGGATGCTTAATTTCATTATTTCTGCAAAGACTCTTTCTCCAAATAAGATAACATTCCCAGGTTCCATGGAGTAGGATGGGAAATATTTTTTTGAGTGCTATTATTTTGGCTGGCTACTCAGTCTTAAACTCAAGAACAGAATAATATAGTAAAAAAGTTGCGTATGGGCTAGTTATTTTTTCTGAACTAGGGATTTGTGTTGTGACTTGTATTTTTGTTGTTTTTAAACATGTACTAGTAGTATATTAAAAAGAGCAAATTTGTAAAGGAATGACATAATAAAAATGATTAATAATGGGAGGGTCAAAACAATTGAATCATAGCACTGAGATATGCTGGAGGACTTTCTAATACTTTTTACTGTATTTCTCCTCAAGTACTATATCATTTTATGATAAATTTTGTGCCACTTGCAGTAAAATATCTGATGAAAAAGCAAATGAAAATTACTGTTTTCTTCAATGATTTCAACACCTATACATAAGATTTTGTAATTGCAAAATTCTGTAATCCATTTCATTAATGTGATTCCATTTCCTCTTCTGATAAGCCTCAAATCAACATAGCCTCATGCCAGACCTTGGCATTATAGAACCCTGACTGTGCTCTACGTTCTTATTCTTCCCCAGGAAAAACCTCCTTTCCTGTTGTATCTTCTTACACTCTTGCAAACACCCAGAGCTGGATCCTTATCGTCAATGGAGATTCCAGTAATTTAAGCCTTCCTACTTCAAAGAGTTAATGTGCCCTCTGGTCACAGTAAACATTCTACCAGTAGTTTAGACTCTGGCCAGCAGTCTTTGCCCAGATACCCTACAAAATAGAGCCTTTTATGGTGGCATCAATCTCTGTCATTCCTCCTGGGATGTGGTATTGCTTCTGTTTTACTGCATTGCCCGGGAATCAGGTCGTTTCAGAGACTTCCGCTTGATCTCTCCTACAAAATTTACTCTTGCATTACAGGTTACGGAACTGTATGAGATAACTGCCAAATGCCAATTATCTTATCACTGAAAGTATATTCAGTGCTAGACCAATAAGGTATATTCATGGACCTATTGAACCCGCTGTAGGTTGGACTTGGCCAAAACTCCATTTATCACCTAGTCTCCAAAAGGAGGACAGTGGCAGCATATTGTGTTTCCTGGTATACGTTTAAGCTCAGATCTAAAACTAAGAGTTCTTGAAAAGTTTTCATATTATCCTTTCCCCCACATATTTCTGCTCTTGCCGATTGTCTCAGGTTCTTCTGGAGAAGGAATGATAAATATTTACCAAATATATTCGTAGTGGTTTTGCTGGGTCCATTCTCAATGGGATGCTTCCCTACACGCCCCTTCAATCAATGGTCTCCATGCTGTATGCTCGTGAACTGACGGCGATTTGGAAATTAAGCAAAGGACAGCAATATTCTACTGGGGGCAGTGGTTGCCTTTGTGACAACAGGATCAGTGTGAACCTTCACTGAGACCGCCCTGGCCAAGAAGCAATGCTGCTATCTTCAGAGACAGACAGGACTAAGTGGACTTGCAGTCACTCATAAAGGAGGTCTGGCAAATCAGCAACTCTATATTGCTCTCACTGGTAACCTAGAAATTCCTGCCACCTATTCACCAGCTGATGTGAATTCTTAACTTTCATAACACCCCCTGTCCCAATGTTTTTCTCCATTCTACTTCTTAGGTGATCGATGATTTATAGAGATGTAGCTGAGGCATGTCTGTAACTGGTCCTGTGCACAGGCACAAACTGGCTTCAGATACACTCTCTAAAGTTCTTGCTTATCTCATATTTGCTCCCATTTCTGTTCCTGCCTCTACCTTCATTCATGTTGACTTTATTCTTTTTCAGTTTATTCAGTCTTTGCTGTCCACTCTTCTTGTGTGCTGTTCTCATCTAAGCTCATTTCATTTCTTTTTGCTTATGATTTCTACACTGGTTTATTCAAAAAGTATGTCCCTGGGACTTCTTCCTAATAGGTGCTATAATTTGTTCTGGGGAAATTGTAAAAACAAAGAAACAAAGAAATTCCCATACCTGCCATCAACTCTATGTGAATCATTAAGATTTTTGTTTTTATTTCAAATAGGTTTAACAAATGCACAATGAGCTGACTGCTTCTAATCCCCAGACTACCTTATTTGTCTCCACTATTTCAACAAATAGCACATGGATGGTAGACTGGTCCATTGCCTGATAATCCACGTGACAGACATAGTTCTTTGCCTACTCAAAATTATTTCTCACTTCTTTCTTGTTATTTTAGCCATTTCATTTGTGTATTGGATGGAAATATCTTAAATTCTGAGGTTTGTAACCTAGTTCTGGGCAATTGAGATATAAGGGAAAAGCTGTTGGTAAGGAGGGATGGCGCGCCTTGGAGAGATTTTGATAAAAGACAAAAAACATCATGAGGAAATTTTCTGTTTTCATTGCCCCTTCCTTCCAGCTTTTGTTGTTCCCGTGAAGATACATCAACAGGACCATGAGGGAGAAGCCAAGAAAAAGGCATAGAAGCTGACTTGATGCTTCGGTATCACTGAAGTGATGGACCAATGTCGGAGCTACCTACTGCTATGCTTCCTATAATGGGAGATATTTAAATGTCTTAAGATAGTGTTGGTCAGCCATTGTGTTGTTATTCTCTCAACACATTCCTAATTCATAATATATTTCTAATACAATTACCCTTTAATTCTGCTCTCCATACAACAAATTCTGAAGACGTTCTATTCTTTCTGAAGTAAGAACTCACCTCTTCTGGTGGCCTCATCCTGTGTTAGTGAGTTCAATGTTTACTCTACTCAAAACAAACCAAGAAACCAAAAAAAAAAAACAGCAAATATGTTTTGTATCAGCATTCACTTATCTTAACACTTGCCTGTGTGTAAGGAGACATATCCTCATGTCCCTCCCTTCAGTCTTGAGATACATTACTTTTCACTTTGCTAAAGCTAACTTAGATGTCTTTTAAGACCACCTTTTCTCCTCCTTGAGGACATCTTTTTCCACAGCTGTCCACAGTTGGCTGATCTGAATTCTCTTACTGATTTAGTTCCTTTTTTTCTCTGTCTTCAAGTCTGCCTAAAATCATTATTATTTATTTATTATTGAGATAGGGTCTTGTTCTGTAGCCCAGGCTGGAGTGGAATGGAGCATTCATAGCTGACTATGGCCTGAAACTCCTGGCTTCATGCCATCCTCCTGCCTTGGGTAAACTTACTTTATTCTGAAATTTAAAAATTAGTCAATATCACTCTACTGTCCTTTTATAAGCCTCTTTAAAAATGTTCAGTGTCTTTATTTCCTTCCTATTCTCTCATAACCTCTTTCAATCAGGCACCTGCTCCCACTACTGGCCTTAAACTTTCCCACTTGTCATTGACAAATTCAGTGGCTTCTACTTGTCATTCTTCTCCTTTCAGCCCTAAGGCAGTTGATCGTCCCTTTTCCACAGAATTTTTTCCTCCCTCAGTTTCCATGAACTACAATATACTAATTCTGTGTCTCTCTGATCATCCCTTTGATATTCATTGTGCACTTAGTTTATTCTTCCCTCTGGAAAGTTGCATTCCAAATATTCAGGCCTTCTGTTCTCTTCTATCTCTCTCTCTTTTTTTTTTCTTGAGATGGAGTCTTGCTCTGTCGCCCAGGCTGGAGTGCAGTGGCGTGATCTCAGCTCACTGCAAGCTCCGCCTCCTGGGTTCAAGAGATTCTCCTGCCTCAGCCTCCTGAGTAGCTGGGATTACAGGCACGTGCCACCATGCCTGGCTAATATTTTGTATTTTTAGTAGAGATGGGATTTCACCATGTTGGTCAGGCTGGTCTTGGACTCCTGACCTCGTGATCCGCCCACCGTGGCCCCACAAAATGCTGGGATAACAGGTGTTAGCCACCATGCCCAGCCTGTTTTCTTCTCTTAATGACCTTTCCTTTGTGGAGTTCATTCATTCTCACTGGTAAGATGTCGTTTTGATGGAAATCATACCAGACAGGGATTTGGGACAGACTCTTGAACCCAATTCACAGGCTTGTGTCTCAACTTCCCAGGAACTCAATTTTTTTCATTCAGATCTAAAACATTGAAGGTAAAACATTTCAGGTGTAAAACACTGTTATCCCTGAAATCTTTGTCTCTGATCCTTCTTACTATTTTCAAGTAGCCATTCCACTGCTTTTAAAAATCAATGTAAGTAAAACCAAGTGCTTCCTTTTACTTCTCCTAAGGCTTTGCTTTCCAATGGCTCCATTATTACTTTTTCCATTCATAGGTCCCCTCCTTGACTATATGGTTGCCCACATTTCTTAATTTTCATTAAATATTGTTTCAATTATTGTACTCAGCTCCTCCAAAAACTTGATTAACTTCATTTTGTTTGCAACATTTTAATTAATTCTTATTTTCTCATTTTCAATACCCTTTTAATCTGGCCCCCATGTCAAGTACGTTTTCTACTTCTACTCTCTGTACTTCTAAAGCTATTTCCCTAAATGCTTGGAAAATGCCTCATGTTTGTTTCTACTTCTGTAGCTTTGCTCGTATCTTTCTCCTGTCTGAAATTATCCCCAATTCCCCCTAGCTATCAAAATACTGTTTATTTAAAAACCCCTTCCTCCAAGAAATCATCTCAAACTCATCCTTGTCTTCACTTTGACTCTTTCAAAACTCTTATTCAATGAATGGTCAGCATACCATACAAAATTATAGCTCACAAGAGTGTAGAGTTTACATCTTAGGATTCATCTATATGTCATCATGTATGGTTTGCCAATTGTTTCATATGGGTGAGGGAATATTTTCAACACCCTAAAGGCATCCTGGGAGAAATTTCATGCCTTTTGGACCTATCATTTGTCAATCACCTCTTGAGTGGGTCACATATATTAGCAATAATCCTTTTAAAAACTAGATAAATTATTATTATTATTCAAATTTTATAGTCAAAACAATAAAATTCTGAGAGATTCAGTGATTGACCCAAATTTACAATGTGAGAGCCAAGAAGTTCCAAATCAATCTATCTCTAAAGCCCAAGCTTTAGCTTGTTGGTGAGTGTAGTAAAGAAACTCAGAAAATACTCACAGATTAATAAACCATCACGAGCTTTGTGACCCAATAGGGAGCAGGAGAGATATATAATTCAACTCAGGCATTTGAAATTCTTTTATTCTTAGAGACTGACCTTAAACCTAGTATCGCAATAAGTAGTAGGAACCTCCTCAATAGTGTGAGATGATTCAACAGCTTCAATATTTCACAAATCACATTTGTATCAGCTTGTGACTTGCTGGACAATCTAATGGTGCCTTGGTCTCATCATACACACTGGGTAAATTCATGTTTTCACACTAGACCATCTGTTCTGTGCTGTGAATAAAGAGGTAGAAAAAATAAAAATCAAAACTTCACATTCATAAGTGCACAAATATGATGCATTTTATTTGTGGAAAAAATACCATTTCATCTGATAAAATAATGGAATTAAAATATTTGGGATAAATTTTAATTAGGTGAATAAAACTGAAGTGTTGTGTGTTTATACGTCTGTGTGTACACACACTCCTGTAAATCAGAAGCTGGGTGTCAGATTCTGTTTAGGGATTCTTTTTTATCTTCTCTACACCTTCATTCCGTATTCATCTTGGACTTAGTATAAAACTAGTCTCGCTGTTGCCCAGGCTGGAGTGCAGTGGTGTGATCTCTGCTCACTGCAACCTCCGCCTCCAGGGTTCAAGCGATTCTCCTGCCTCAGCCTCTGGAGTAGCTGGGATTACAGGCGCGCACCACCACCCCCAGCTAATTTTTTGTATTTTTAGTAGAGACGGGGTGTCAGCATGTTAGCCAGGATGGTCTCGATCTCCTGACGTCGTGAGCCATCCACTTCGGCCTCCCAAAGTGAGATCCATTTTTTATATTAGGATCCACTAGCCTACATTTCAGATATGTCACCCATGAATATATTTAGTTTGAAAAAGGAAATGAATTGTGACCACAGAAAACATTGCTTTCTATTTTATTTGCCAGCATTGAGAACAAGGTAAGTGTGAAAACTCAAAGTGTGCATAAGATTGTTCATAATGCTGACCCTTGGGAGAGCAATGAGAGAGGAAGCAACACAGCAGAGAGGCAGGACCCCGGCTCAGCCTGAGCCACCACACCTGGGACACGGCGATGCTGGCCAGCTTTCTCCATTCACTGTCTTGAAATGACCACATCATTATTTCTAAATTAAGGAACATAATTTATGTAACTCATGGGACTCTTTTGGAACAAATGGCACTGAGACAAAGTTCAGACCAATGTTCTAAGAAATTTAACTTCCCTGAGAAACAAACTATAATAGAAAAACTCTGTGTATTCATTTGAATAAACATTCATTGAACACCTATTCTGGGCCAAGTGCTATATTAAATGCTGTTGATAGAGGAAAACTAGCAAGACTGGACTTTATCCTCAAGGATTTCACAGTATAAGTGAGAAATTAAGCCTTCAGTTATAATGTGAAGTGTACTCCGGAAAAAATGTACCAAAGAAACGTGTAAAGGAAGATTAGAAAACTAAGGATGAGGAGCTTACCTCTAAATGCAGTTGGGGCTGGGCACGGTGGCTCACGTCTGTACTGCTAGCATTTTGAAAGGCCAAGGAGGGTAGATCTCCTAAGGTCACGAGTTCAAGACAAGTCTGGCCAACATGGTGAAATCTTGTGTGTACTAAAACTACAAAAAAATTAGCTGGGCATTGTGGCATGTGCCTGTAATCCCAGCTGCTAGGAGGCTGAGGCAAGAGAATCGCTTGAACCCGGGAGGCAGAGGCGACAGTGAGCCAAGATCTTGACACTGCACTCCAGCCTTGGCGACAGAGTGGGACTCCATCTCAAAAAATAAAAATAAATAAATAAATAAATAAATGAATGTGGTGGGAATTTGAACTGAGCACTGACTTATGAATAAAGATAACTCATGAGTAAAGATATATTACTACTGACTTATGAATAAACTGACTGACTTAGGGTCAGTTTATTATTGGCTTATCAGTGAAGAGAGTTTCCTAGAGTTTACTAACATATTTATAGTGAAATATATATATTGCAGAATAGTTTATGATAGTTACCATTACCGTGCACCAAGTTCAGTGTTTCATGCCCACACATGATTAAAATGGTTTTTGAAAAAGTTAGATATCCATTTTGGGGGATATAGGGAGGTAATAATCTATTTGTAGACTACATTATGGCAAAACAGTTTAACATTCTCACAAAAAAATGCTGTATGTATGATTAGCAAGAGAAAACAGTTTCAAGATCTTAGTAATTATGATCTAGTATAGGAATTGAATCTACTGTCAGAAGATTAAATTGAAATGCCAAGTTTGTTAGTAAGATCTAAGACCATGAGCACGTTATCCCTCTGTTATGTGGTTTTATGTTATCATCATTAAAATTATGTAATATCTATATTGAAGGGTAAATTATGAGGAGAAAGAGAGGGAGAGAGAGATCTTACATATAAATCTCTTTTTGTATATTTGGCAAAATTAAAAATACTATATTGCTTTCCACCTCCTAAAACCTGATGCTATTTTTGGAAGCAGATTAATTATTTTGCAAGATGAACAGATCATAAGTTTCTTTCATTTATTAAAATTAATTTATTAAAATATCACATACTAGGTAAATGTTTTTGCCAAATATTTGAAATACAAAATGTTTAAAACTGAAGGTGCGATATCAGTATCCAGCTGAGTGGACCATTCTTACTCATGAATAACAGAGGGGGCAAGCAGAACATTCGTGAATCACTTCTCCTGTACTATATAAACATTAGTACTTTCTGCTTTCAAATTTAGAAGAGAACAGAGGCCTGCATCTCACCTATGAAGCAAATGGGAAATGTGGGGAAATGGGTGTGAAAGAGAATGAAGTAAGCTGCAAACAAAGTTTTATTCTTAAGACTAGGTTTAACACATAATAATAATAAAAGATGTCCCACAACAGTGGGAATAGATCAATTCCCAACCATGAAATTGTTTTAAAAAAACTATTCAAGGCCGGGCACGGTGGCTCACACCTGTAACCACAGCACTTTGGGAGGCTGAGGCGGGCAGATCATGAGGTCAGGAGATCGAGACCATCCTGGCCAACATGGTGAAACTCCGTCTCTACTGAACAAAAAATACACAAATTAGCCAGGCATGGTGGCATATGCCGGTAATCTCAGCTACTGGGGAATCTGAGGCAGGAGAATCGCTTGAACCGGGGAGGCGGAGGTTGCAGTGAGCCGAGATCTCGCCACTGCACTCCAGCCTGGCGACAGAGCGAGGTTCCGACTAAAAAAAAAAAAAAAACGCAACTATTCAATTCCGTCAAGTTGAGGAATAGAACAAATGTCGCCCATTTCTGGCATTCCACAATTTCAAACCCATGTGTTTTAAATATGGGTTCAGACCTCTTTGCATTCAAGACTCAAACATTTTGCATAGAATTAATAATTCTCACATTTTCCTGTGAGGGAGAAGGAGGCACAACTGTGCTCATCCACATTTTATAGGGTTGGCAAGATACTGGTGTGATGTTATCCAAAGCCATAGAGATTGTTGCCAAGACTATAGTTCATATCAGAACTGCAGTGAAAATGCAGTCATTATAATTCTAAGAATTCATTGTAACTGTAATTCATCTCAAAATAAAAACAATGTACTTAAATTTTTTCCTGAATAAATATATTCATAAAATAATTTTTTAGCTGACCAACCAGGTTATGCTTGAGTGAAAGTCTTTTCATAATAAAGTATAGTAAAAATGAAAAATTTTAATATAAAACTACTAAAATTAGAAACAATATTCTATTTCCATCCCAAATATTAGTTGAAGATCTTTTATATCCCATTCCACAGCTTCAAATAGTGGAGATACAGAAATTTATGTAACCCTTATGAATTTTAGGGTCCAGTTTGGAGATAATGCATTCATACAAAGAAAAAGATAACCAATGATACAAGACAGTAGTAATAGATATGATCAATTTTATTCTGTCTGCCTACGATATGATAGTCCTAAGTGTTTCCAGTATATTTTATTGTTTGAATCTCACATCTGCCTTTTAAAATACATCTTTATACTGCGGTAATCCAGATAAAGAAACAAGCTCAAAGAGGTTATGTAGTTTGCCTAAAGCGCTATAGCTAGAAGTTGTAGAGCCAAATTCGGAAACCAAGTCAGTTGGATTCAGTCTCACTGAACCCTAAGAAGTATTTACAGTAGATTCTGCCTGACATTAAAAGAATGAGAGATGGGTTGCTACCGAGGCCTGAATTTAGCTCCTACAAATAGATAGGAGAAAGATATAGAAGACATTCTAGGTAGAGTTAAACGAGAAAAAATATGAAGCCCCCGCTATGAGATAACTTCAGCCCCTTGGAATGAATGTCCACACAGCTGGGGAACCTTAGGATTAATAATCAAAGATCAGGCAAAGAGCCTCAACGGTAAACGTTGAAATAGACCAATGTTAATTTATAGACACGTTGATTTGTTTGGTGGTAGTAAAGCTGAGTGGTGGGGAACATTATGAAGGAAGTACCCTGCAGGTCTTGGTGGCTGAGTCAATAAAAAAGGGAGAAAATAAAATTGGTCAAATGTTCCCACTTTCTGTCCCTTCCTCTGCTGTGCATTTATTCCTCTTTTGTTCTAACCAAAGAGATATTTGTAGGGTTCTAGAGAAGTCACTTCAAACCATTGGCCTTAAAATATTCACCTAAACAATGAGGGGTTTTGACTAAAAGATCGCTAAGGACCCTTCTAGCTGCACATTCAAATGATGTTTTGCTTATGGGCATCCAATAAATAATTATTAAATAATATTTAATAAATAATTCTTGAATAAACGGACCCCTACTTTCCGCATGGGAATTTATTATAACTTCCTAAATGTAGGACACAGAAGCAAGTATAAGGAGACTACTGGTAATGATGACTGTATTTTAGAGCACTGCAAATTTTTTACCTTTTGATGAGCAATATAAATTAGAGGAGAAGAAGAAAGATGTAAAATTTCACATTCAACAGGGGAAAATAAACGACAAAAACAATATTCATTTCAAAATAGGCATTTTTCTTTTTGTAGCTTCAATGGGCTTGCTGGGCAAATCTGCTCCTATCAGTAGTAAATGTCACTCAAAAAAAGGCACTATATGATTGACAACATAGAAAAAAAGCTGATGAATTATTCACCAAAGCACTAAGATTCACAGCCTATAGTAAAACAATTTACAATTAAAAAAATTATGAGAGTCAAAGTCTTCTTCACAAAGTGTAAGCCTATTTTTGTAACTAACAAAACTCAAATGCTGAAATAAAATAGAAAAACATCACAATAATCTCATGAATTTTTCCCTGTGAAAACGGAGCTGACATCTCAAAGGCTTACGTAGACTTTTTTCTAAAGATAAGGCTGTAGATGTTTTTAAAACAGCCTCTGAGAGAGATGTCAGTGTTCTTTAAGTGTGGTTTCAAGAGGATTTTAAGGAAAGTTAATACAAAAAATCTTTAATAGAAAAAAAGAATGTTGGCTGTGTAATAGCCAGCAAAATTTTAGTCATCAAATATAGCAATTGAAGTGGAAAAATTGAGTCAGGGAGAACATTTAGTATTATCCTTTTAATAACATTGAAGACATTTGGGGTTTACTCAATCTCTCCATATTGGGTTAGCAGAGGCTCAATGAGTGTGCTTTGCAAATGTGACCTCTTAGATCAACTAGAATAATTTTGATACCTCTATCATTGGTTAAGAATAATATTGGACAACGGATGCATTTGCACAGACTCAAATCCGTTCACATTGCTAAAGTATCAACCCAAAGGTCTTTTCTTATAAAAAGTATTCTGTCCATTCTTAAACATGAAGGGTGACATGTTCCATAGCAGTGATCTAAACAAGACCTGTAAGAGTCACCTCATATATAGATCAAATATATATATGCAGATTTTGGAGTGAAAGTGCCAAGAGTAAGGTAAATAATGATTAGATTTCTGCATAACTATTGCTGGTTTAAATGATGTGTGTTTTGGTGGGAACTATGACTTAGATTTTCTCTCTTACAAACTTTCATAATACCTCTAATTACATAAGAGAATTGAATTAAAGGAGAAGTCTCTTTTCCCTCTAATTAATCTCATGTCCGCCTTCTTTCATTACTTTGTCTACTGATTAACAAAATTAGTCTTTGTTACAGAGAAGAGTATAATATATAATTGAAGTTATACTTTTTTCCATCCAAAATAGCAAGGAAAAGCAAAACAAGCAGCACATACTCTGTAGTGCATGATTTCATTTGCAGAAGTTGGATTATTTTCTGTACTTTGTGTAACTGTTACTGAAGCCTTCAGCCTTAATGTGATCATGCAAGGAAATACTATTTTTCAATGGAATAGAGAAGTAACACTATTATTGCTCTTTCCATTCCAGTAGAAACCTACCCAGGCCACATCAGCAATCTAGTCCTTCACTTGTATGTTCCTTCCTCGAGAAACAAGAATGTTAACCCAAAGTTGTTGATAAACTATTATTTCTAGTTTATCGTTTACAAAAGTTAATCTCAAATCATTACACAGAAATAGCAATGATAGCAGTATCATGTGTTAGTTAGCCTCTACCATGTTATGGCACTGATCTATACACGGTAGTATTGACATGTTTGGTAGTCACAGCTCATTGAGTAGCTAAGAAACTGATTAGGTAAGTGATGTTACACAACTACATGATACAATCAGAACGTAAACCTGGCACTCAGGTTCAAATTCTAGAAAAGTCACTGTTTATGCTGCAATCGGTAGCTTCAGCCAAATATCAGCATTCTAAGGCCCGAAAACTACTTTTCACCTTCACAACAGTAAAACTTTCAAGCTAGCATTCTAAATTAAGACTAAAAGGAACATTTAAAAATGAGTGTGTTTATTTTTATTTACTTTTGAAGGGGAAGAAGTAATCAGGAGTGTATTGTAACATAGTGAGGATCATAAAACATTTTGGCTTCTCATAAGTATCTGAAAACCAGAAAATTAATTTAAAAAGAATTCCAAAATGTATGGTTATAAGAACTTTTGTAAACACTCCATTCTTCAGGTTTTGTTTCTGTGGACTTTCTAACATAATAAATAGACCACCTCCTCTATAACTTGGAAAAATACACTTTAAATAAACTAGATAAAACAAGTTTGTATTTTTAGTAGAATGCTTGAAATCATGTTTTCAATTTAGGCTTCACTTCTGATAAAATATCATATTGGCCATCACAAATTCAGAGACTCAAGTTAGAGTTCCACTAGCCAGGTGCAGTGGCTCATGACTGTAATCCCAGCAGTACAGGAGGTAGAAGCAGGCAGATTGCCTGCGCTCAGGAGTTCGAGACCAGCTGGGCCAACATGGCGAAATCCCATCTCTACCAAAAATACACAGAATTAATCGGGTGTAGTGGCGCATGCCTGTGGTCCCAGCTACTTAGGAGGCTGAGGTGGCAGGATCACTTGAATTCCAGAGGCAGAGGTTGTAGTGAGTTGAGGTGACACCACTGCATTCCAGCCTGAGTGACAGAGTGAGACCCCATCTCAAAAAAAAAAAAAAAAAAAGAAAAAAGAACTCTACTAAAGTTTCCATATCTTTTCGAGTTTGTATTCTTGGCCTAAGATATTTCAAATCTAAAGAGATAAAAAATTACATAATTGGCCAATGTAAGCTTCATTTCTAGTATCACTTCCAACTATTTCTATTGAAATTGGACAAAGAAAACAAATAGTAAAAATAGCTACAAAAAATGATTCTGGGGAAATGAAGTTATTCGGGGCCAGTCTACAATAACGAAAAAAAAAAAAAAAAAAAAAAAAGAAACCAGTCCTAACAAGGAAGAATTTTAGTGAAAATAGGAGTTACATATTCATCAATAGTCGCAGACCTCCATGGTCAAAGCCTTGTGGATTATATTGTTTACTTTTTAAAAGATTGTTTCTGTTGGAGATAAAAAGAGGACCAAAACCATTTGAAGGTAGAATTCCAGAGGGCTGAGAAACAAACACAGCACCACTCATATAATCCTGATTTGGTGAAATAAATTATATTTTATGCTAAGTAGTATTTTCATTATTTCTTGCTTATGAGAAATACTTCAAGCTAGCTCACCCTAAATGATTTCATGTGCAAGTCATTGAAACGTCATTGAAACCTCTAGCCCTAAACACTATCTTCCAAATATGTCACAAGAATCTAGAGGGAATTAAATAAAATTTCTTTTCAATGATTTTTTTAATTATTGGATTTACTATCTCTTATGCAATACTAGCTAAAACATCTTCTGTTAACTGGCATGCAGGCAGATATTAGAGGAAAAGTAATTGAGTAATGACTTTTTAAATGAATCTAACCATGTTCTTACCTAATATAATTTAATAAATACTTATTGTCTTGTGCTTATTAGAGGAATCATTCAAAGGTTTTGCCAGTATCTAAAATCTAAAGGAAATTCTAAAGGTATGAGTCTACCATGCTTTGTTTAGTACTTTTATGATGACTGTGGACTATTTTAATGTGGGTCAGCCAAAAAGTGACCCTTCCATATCTAAAACTCCGCATACAATAATGTCAGGAATAAATGCTAAGTGGAATAACCAACAGGAAGACTCCACTATTAAATAGGAGTCTAGCTTCACTGCATATCTGAAAAAACATATTGGCAGGTCTACCTGCAAGAAAACTATTTAGTTTTGTCATCTGATTTTACTAAAGTCAGAAATGTGGCATCACACAGTGGAATGAAAAATACCTCCCATTTAATTAAATATCCTGTTGGTCAAGTATATGTCCACACTAAAGCATTATTCAATATACAAAGCACTGGTTTTTACTGTTGTACATAAATAGCCATAGAGAAAATCGCATGATTAATTAAATGTGCTATATAGTGACTCGCTGTGGCTAAATAAATAACCTTTGTCTATGCAGAAAATTTACACATTAGCAACAAATGATGCAAAATAGATGTGGGAAATCAGAAACCAAAATTTTCACTTTTCCTGGTTACAGTATAGAGTGTCAATAGTTCATACACATGCTACATTAAAACCTTTGTTATTTCTTCCAAAGAAACATTAGGAAAGTCTTAAGTTTTATAAATAGCATGGAAACAATGACGACCACCATTCTGATTACAAGCTTAGGACTCAAAAGAAGAGTGGTTTCCTTATTAGATCCATCATGTACTTTTTTTTTTTTTTTTTTTTTTTTTTTTTTGAGACGGAGTCTCACTCTGTCACCCAGGCTGGAGTGCAGTGGCGCCATCTCGGCTCACTGCAACCTCCGCCTCCTGGGTTCAAGCGATTCTCCTGCCTCAGCCTCCAGAGTAGCTGGGATTACAGGTGCCCACCACCAGGCCTGGCTAATTTTTTGTATTTTTTAGTAGAGACAGGGTTTCACCGTGTTAGCCAGGATGGTCTCCATCTCCTGACCTCGTGATCCACCCGCCTTGCCTTCCAAAATGCTGGGATTACAGGCGTGAGCCACCCCGCCCGGCCAATCATGTACAGTTTTTAGTGGAGTTGGCAGTACCCAGAGAACTGCCTGTGTACTGATGTTCTTTTTATTCCTGCTTTGTGACCTAACCTCACTAAAGTTAATACGTCCTACTTTTTACTACATTTAAAAAGGAATAAAAAAAAAAGCGAGAGAGAAGACAGAGAGATAATTGAAAGAGTAAGAGAAGGAACCAGGAGCCCGCGATAACATGAAATGGCAGCTAAGGAAATTATGTTTCCAGGGAGATGATGTTACCTAGTCTCGGAAACAAACTGTCTCCAAACTTAATGCCTTAAAATAACAGCTGCGTATTTGCTCATGATTCCGTGAGTTGGCACTTTGGGCTGGGCTCAGCTTAGAAGAATTGTCTTTGCTCACTCATGTCCTTTGTCGGGGCAGGTGGCATGACTGACCCTTCCCTCTCCTGGTTCTCTGTCAACCTCCAGAAGGCGAGCGGAAGCTGTTGGTTTTGTTTTGAAATGTGGCAAGAGATGCACCAGAGAACAATCTTGCTTCAGCAAGACCTTTTAAAGTATCTACTGGCTCTACATTTGCTGACATCCCATTGATCACACTCAGAGGAAATATAGGAGAGATTCAAACAAATGCCAGAGTGGTGAGAAACACTAGTTATTGGACGCAATTATTGTAACCATCGACCCCAAATGCTATAGAACACATTGTCTAAGTACCATTTGATGTGGTACTTGGAGACAAGTTTTAGAAGTAAGTGTGGGGTAAACAAAAAAGATTGAAAATGTTTTGTTTTGTTTTGTTTTTTAAAAAAGAAGAAGATGGGCCAGGCACGGTGGCTCACGCCTGTAATCGCAGCACTTTTGGAGGTCGAGGTGGGCGCATCATGAGCTCAGGAGATTGAGACCATCTTCACCAACCTGATGAAACCCCATCTCTACTACAAATACAAAAATTAGCCTGGCGTGGTGGCGCTTGCCTGTTGTTCCAGCTGCTTGGGAGGCTGAGGCAGGAGAGTCACTTGAACCCGGGAGGCACAGCTTGCAGTGAGCTGAGATTGCGCCAAGGCGCTCCAGCCTGGGCAACAAGAACGAGACTCCATCTCAAAAGAAAACAAAAAAAAAGATGATGAAGAGAATAGGAAAGGAGGATTAATTTCAGCCAGGCGCTGTGGCTCACGCCTGTAATCCCAGCACTTTGGGAGGCCAAGGCGGGCGGATCACAAGTTCAGGAGATCGAGACCATCCTGGCTAACACGGTGAAACTCCGTCCCTACTAAAAAATACAAAAAATTAGCCGGCTTGGTGACACGTGCCTGTAGTCCCGGCTACTCGGGAGGCCGAGGCAGGAGAATGGCGTGAACCCGGGAGGTGGAGCTTGCAGTGAGCCAAGATCAGGCCACTGCACTCCAGCCTGGGCGACAGAGCGATACTCTGATTAAAAAAAAAAAAGAAGAATAAGTAATTTTGTGGGGGAGGAAAGCAAAGAAACGGGGCAATGCAGGAAGAGGCAGCAACATTAAAAGAATATTTGTTAGCTTGTTTTTTCTTTTTTTTTCTCCTTGTTCCTTCTAGCTTGAAGTGATTTCAGCAGTTTTGTTGCCTGTGAAGAGTTATAGAGAGGAAGAAATAAAAGTTCTGAGAGATAAAGCACAGCTATTCCCTAGGCAAAGATTGGTAGATGGAAAAGAGAAAGCTAACTCTGGTCTCCCTGAGCCCTGAACTGAGTGAGGTGTGAAGGAGTGGAAAGTTTATGCCTGCGCGTTAATGATTAGACATGGTAATAATGCAGGAGGGTGTTTATCTGCACAGCGATAGAGCCAATGCTCAAACTTCCTTGCCTCCCTTGCCTTACATCTTTTTGCAGCTGTGGAGCTCTCCAAAGCTCTGGGAGAATTACCTGATTCACCACCTGCTATAATTGGATTATGAAGACCAATGATGCTGTAGAGCCCCTGGCCCTCAGAGCAGGATCTCTACATGATTTTTGATTTACAGAATTCCCAATTGAGAGGAAAAGAATATTTTCCATACCCTTGCAGTTTAATCCTTGAGAGTTCAAACAAAGATTATTTGCCCCAAAAAGAATATATACATATGTGTGTGTGTGTGTGTGTGTGTGTGTGTGTGTGTGGTATTTATGTAGTTGTAGTTGAATGGTCTAAAAAGTCAAGAACCATTTAATTACTAAAAGTGTGCTTAATGTTTTTTTCAATATAAATTAGTACCTGAGCCTTCCCCTCACATATATTTGTCTTATCAGACTCTACTGACACCACTGCTAATAAATTATATGACAATCACTGTGCAGTGTTCAGTGGAAATACAAATATGGGCTCTGTCTTGTCTTGGGATGATTTAGAATGTTGGTTGATTACTCTCCTGATACAGTGTTTATATATACAATTTCCCACACTTCCTGTGCAGTCATTGATATGAATAGCTTCAGGGAAAAAAAATCTAAATGCTTGCCAAAGGATTTTGCAAAATCACTAAAATAATATAATCACTAATTTTGTTTTCAAATGTTAGTGAGTCAGAAGAAAGAAAAGTTCATCTTCCCACTATGATTTCGGGAAATCTCCACCACCACTTTTGTTTCCAAACCTGAAGAAGCTAAGGAAAGACCTAGTTTACTGATGGAAAAGAAAAACAATCCTGTGACATCAGTGAGAAGGACATAACAGGTTAAAGTTATAAAAACTCAACCCTCCTAGGGGAGAGAATGTGTTTTCTCAAAAATATTTAAGGCAGTCTGAGAACTGCCATTTACATCTTTTAAAAAATGCCAGCTGGGAGACTAGACAAGAATACTTTTGAGACTTATGTAGGCAAAAGAATTATCTAGGAGCCATATTTTCACAAATGAAGATTCCTGACCCCTTTATCTTTCTTCCCAAAAGCTCTTAATTTTTGAAAACACCTTTAGTATTTATAATAAAGGTGTTTCTTGGGCAAAACTTTGGGAAATGTGAATTAAACATGTAGTCTACTGTGCTCTTTCCAGGTTTGCAGCCTATACCTCTCCAAGTCCTCATGGTTGCACTTGGAACATCTACCCTCTTCCCACAGATAGGTTTGCAGTGAAAAGGGTCTCAGTTTACACTGATGGATAATGCTACATCAATTTAGATGGCGTCAATCAATTTTGTTTTAGGCGTCCGACCTGGCCTTTTACTATTTTCTTCAACTGGATCCAGGTGCCATTTGAAGGAAAGAGTGATGCCTCATGCTGGTTGCTGACACTCTTACCACCTGGACAGTATAAGGAAGAAGGGAGAGAGATGACAGAGTTGGCTTCCAATCCACTTCCATAATAAAGCACTTTTACAGTGTCATCACTAAGGTCATCCAATGGGAGGAATAATCTGAATGGATCATGTCATCATCATTTTAATGTGCCATAAGACTCTAGCCTTAGGTAGCAAAGTGACACTCCTACTGGAGGAAGGCGTGAAGGTGGATGAAGGACAGAGTAAAATGCCTTCGCATTCACCTACCATTAAGGATGGAGTAAATTGCCTACCAACAAGTGTTCAGGAATCTCTGTCTCCTGGACTCCCTTCATTCTAGCCCCAAAGGAACTTGGATTTCAATCAATGATAGCATTTATGGAATGACCCAGGGTTTGGCACTGAAGATACAAACATGATTAAGATGCAGGTTCTGCTTTGAGGGACCCCAAACTCCCCAAAATCATAGAGAAATAAAACCATGGACATTGTAAGCATTAGAATAAAGATACCTATAAAGCAATATGGGAGCATGAGAATAAATGTCTGTAGAGTTATGGAAAATTACACAGAGGAATTTAACATTTAACTGCGGCCTGAAGGATAAGAGGCTGGTCCTAAGCAGTGAAGAAGAAATGATACTACACATAGAAGGTGCTGGATATGGGACAGCACAGAAGAGTGACAGAAGGTGGCATTTCAGGGACCTGATGTAGCTGTATACAAAATGTGGTGCTGGAGAACCACCGCTGCTTTCAGCTCAGGTAAGAAGAGTGACGCCATCAAGAGATTAATTCAATGAGTCAATATTTAATAATCCCTGCAAGAGGTGTTTGTAAAATAATAAAATAGAATAATATAAACACTTCATAAATGTGTCACAATGAAAGTTTATCTTTTATTCTTTTAAAAAATATATCAAGACCTTTAAGGGCACACACACACACACACACACACACACTCTAATTCATTGAAAGCTCATCTCATTAAATTAGTATATCCAGTAACTCTGACTGATGTGTCACGTATGGAATTTCTTTACAGCCAACTGTCACTCCTTTACAGCAGTTGAGAAAGGTCTAGAGTCACATTGGGTCTTCAGTGTCTGCACAGGTTTTGAATCCGTTTCATTTGAGAGCATAATGATCGCAAAGAGGACCTTGAATAGACCCGCTCTGAAGAACTAATCAAGAAGAAATTCCCCAAATCAGTTAACCACTTCATTCCCTTTGTGATAGGAAAAGATGACAGAAGAATACAATATAGAAATGAATTCCTGGTTACTATCCGTTCCAATAAATTTGGTTTAATTGGCTCAGCTCTAATTAAGAGACATAAGCCTAAAAGAGGGATTACAGGAACATAAAAAAGTGTATTGAAATGCAAATGCACCATAAACTTGAGGAAGTTGTCTTTTAGAGAAATTTAGAACTATCCAGTTTCTAATTTTTATCTTTTTAATTAATAGACTTTTTACAAAGCATTTTTAGGTTTACAGTTTCAAATTAAAAGAAAGTACAGAAATACCTTATACCCTCTCCCTGAAAAAAGTTTCCCCTATTATTAACATATTTTGGTAATGTAGCACGCTCGTTATATATTATATTGACACATAATTATTAACTAAAGTCCACAGTGGACCCTAGGGCTCACTCTTGGTGTTGTACATTTTATGAGTTTTGACATATGTATAATGCCATGTATCCACTGTCACAGCACCATGCAGAACCATTTCACTGCCCTAGAAATCAGTCACCTGTGCTCCACCTATCATTTGCCACTACCGCTCCCACCATGGATCTTTCTTTTTTTTCTTCTTCTTTCTTTTTTTTTTTCTTTTTTTTTTTTTTTTTGAGACAGAGTCTCGCTGCAGAGTCTTGCTCTATGGTTCAGGCTGGAGTGCAGTGCTACGACCTCGGCTCACTGCAAACTCCACCTCCCGAGTTCAAGAGATTCTCTTGCCTCAGCCTCCCAAGTAGCTGGGAGTACAGGCGCACACCACCACGCCCAGCTAATTTTTGTATTTTTAGTAGAGATGGGGTTTCACCATGTTGGCCAGGCTGGTCTCGAACACCTGACCTCAAGTGATCTGCCCACCTCGGCCTCCCAAAGTGCTGGGATTACAGGCCTAAGCCACTGCCCCTGGCTGAGGTTTTAACTCTCTCCGTAGCTTTGCCTTTCACTTGGATGCTTTTCATGGCCTCAAGGTCTCAGAATTTCTTTGACTGTGTTGTGAATTTCTTCTTAACCTCCTCTTATAGATTCTAGTTCCATCTAGTCTCTCCCAATCACACCTATTTACGGCTACATATATGTCCTGAAATTTTCACAGTAATCAGTAATGTTGGTTTAAGCTTGAAGATTGTCTTTCTTTCTAGATCTTTAGCATTCTGTTTTTATGTTTTAATTTTTTATTGATAAGTTGTAGCAGTATATACATATGGGATACAATGCAGTGTATTGACACACGTATAAAATGTGGCATGATTAAATAAAGCTGATTCACATATCCATCACCTATTGTTCACTTACCTATTGTTTGTCATGATGAGACATTCAAAATATATAATATGTTATTAGTTGGTTAACTTGAAATCTATAACACGTTATTATTGACTACATTCCCCGTAGTGTGCAATAAATATCAAAACTTATTCCCCCTGTCTTAAACTCTGTGCCCTTTGATTAACAACTCTCCAATCCCCTGTCTATCAGAAACTTCATAAGATCTTTGTATTATTTGGTCAAAACATCCCATTCCTCCCCTCCCTCCCCAGCCCACTCCCAGCCTCTGGTAACCATAGTTCTACTCTCCACTTTTATAAATTCAACTTTATTAGATTTCACATATAAATGAGACCATGTGGTATTTGTCTTCCTGTGCCTGGCTTATTTTACTTAGTCTGATATCCTCCAGATTCAACCATGTATCTTGCTTTGCCCAATAAATGAGAGCTGCTATGTTGGGTGAAAGTCGTGGAGCGTATGCATTATCTGTGTTTTCTTTCCCCTTGGCATAGAGGTAACTTGCTTGTTGCCCTAAGGACAATGTGGAGCAAAGTCCCAGGCAGCCTAAAGAAACATGTAGTTGAGCAAGAAGTAAACCTTTTATGTCCAAATCACTGAAATTTGGAAATGATTTATTATCTACTACTGAAGCATAGTGTGACTATAACTGATAAAATTCTTATTTATAAAAAATTTTAAAACATGTCCATGATATATTTTAAAGTGAAGATGGTAGAATTGTGTGTATATTAGAATTGAACTTAAACAGAAAAAAGATATGCTCATATGAGACCAAAAAAATTATTGATGTATAGACATGAAAATGTTAACAATTAGTAAGCTATGGGAAGTAAGAAATTATGAGGAGGAGGTGGAGAGTATTTCTTTCTACATATTGTACTTTCATTTTTTAAAACAAGAAGCAGGGGTCAGGTACAGTGGCTCATGCCTGTAATCCTAATACTTTAGGAGGCTGAGGCAATATGATAGCTTGAAGCTGGAAGTTTGAGACCAGCCTGGGCAACATAGCGATATCCCATCTCTACAAAAACTAAAAATAATTTAGCAAGATGTGGTGATGTATGTCCATAGCCCTAGCTAATCAGCAGGCTGAGGCAAGAGGATCACTTGAGCCCAGGAATTCAAGACTGCAGTGAGCTATGATCATGCCACTGCACTCCGGCTTGGGTGATAGAGTGAGATCTCCTCTCAAAAAAAAAAGAGAAACAGGTACTATTTCTAAAGTTTAGTTAAGAAAAATTTATCCTGATTAACTAGACAATAAACCATATAATAACTCTAAGTTTATTGAAAAGTATTATATATGCATGAGAATAAAATGATTAATAAATGTGAATAGCAAGTCCAGAGAAGATTTAAATAGAATTCAGAGTTAAATGAGTTTATTTGGTCGGTGCAAAATCAATTGTGGTTTTTGCCATTGCTTTTAATTGCTTTTAAAAGTAATGCTTTTACACCAATCTAATATTTCAATTCTGTGCAGCAAGAAATGTTTATTCAATGAATCAAGTTGATACATTGGTTAAACGTGAAAAAGATTACGTGAAATCCACACCTTCTCTTTTTAGCAAAATAAATTTTAAATTGAGACAGTTATAAATTTAATAAAATAAATCACATAGGCAAATGATGAATGTTTAATGAATTGGGAGGGCTTTCTAACTGTGATGCCAAGGCCAGAAAGAATTATGAACAAATTGATAGATTTGATTACATAATACATACACACATATATAAATCACAAAATAAAAGAAATTTTGCAACATATCAAGCTGTGCCCAATCAAAAATGTGTAAGTCTACCCAATAGCACAGCAATTACATTCATTCCTGGGTTTAATTTACCAAAGATTACTATATTTTTTGCACAAATGGACTGTTAGGGTGAATCTGGGTGCTCATCCCCGGGATATTAGAAATGGAAATTATGATGAGTAAATAGCATGTAATATTTTGCAAACGTTAGAAGAAACAATTACTAGATATACACCAAGCAATATGGATTAATATTTTACAAAGCATTGTGATAAATGAGAAAATTATAAAATAGAATAAGTTCTAAACATAGCCATTTAAGTGAGCTAAGTACGTGTGTGTGCAAAAGAACAACATATGTACAAGAACACATGCGAACAAAAACTGTACAGTAAGTAGTTTAAAATGTACAGGGAATTGTGTAGGGGGAGATGAGAGATGGAAGGGGGGACATGGATGTATCAACAAATATAAACAAGAAACAAAGAACAAAACAGGATTGGACTTTTCAGAGATCACTGATAATTACGTTCTTTCGTGATGATGAGTATAATTAGCTCAACTCAATGCACTTGAAGTTCAAAAAATATATTTGTATTTTTTTTAAAATAGGCTAAAGAATGAGCTAATAAATTAATAGCTAATAAATATGAATAATAAATACATGAAAACATTCACTTTGACTAGCAATTAAATAATAATAATAATACAGAAGTTTATATGTGTTTATTTATTGACCTGTTTATTGAGAAGTGGGAGAAAAGATGGTATTTAGAAATATTATTCTTAATGGCACTAGAAAGTAGTAGAAACTTTTTGGACTACTCAGATAAGTGTCAACAATACCTGAACAAAAGTTTTGATTATAACATTGATTGTAAAGGCTAATAGTTGGGTGAGAACTAGTTAACACTTTGGGGTTTGTTCAAACAAATTCTTCATCAAACAAATGAGTATTATGTAGCCTTTGAGGGTTGATGAGATAGAGGATTTTTTCTCTTTGTCCCTATATATTATTAAATCATGTCACATTGAAATGCACTATTTTCTGCAAAACATGTAATAAGTAAATTTTTAAAATTCAACTAAAATAAATTTGAGGGTACACTAAAAATTCAGCAATTCTGGGAGAAAAGTTCTGCAGTTTACATTCTGTTCTATGACCAGTAAAGTATTAGAATTTTAATATATTTTATGTTGCTTCTTTCACATAAATATCTTAAAATTGGCTTTATTGGCTTATAACTTCATACGTTTCCTTCCCATAATTAAGAAATGTTTGTGATTGCTGTTAAAACTCTAGATTTTAGACTATAGTTAAGTGGGAAAAAATACACTTATTTTTGCATTAAAAAGGCTTTTAAAAAACATGCACTAAGCCAGGTTAAAATGTTTCCTGCCTAGGAAATAGCATAAAAAGCATTTTTTCCCCCATTAAGTTAATGCAGTAGTACATTTTGATAAATGTAAATTGAAATAATTGCAAATCTGATATATGTAATGTGAATTCTTGATTTGGAAAGTAATTTATGACCAGCAGTTATTTTTTAAACACAAATATTACTTTTTTTAAAGCTAATCAGAACTTTCAGATATGTCATACTGAAAAGCCTGTACTCTGATAACATTTATTCCCTATGATATGGAAAAAGAGAATCGTTTCTATTCTGGAACAAATGCTGAAGACACTGCACGCCTTTGCTTGGCTCTCTTGGTTAATGAATGTGTTACTTAAAATAATAATTTGCTCTTCAAATCATCTGGCCACACAGACCCATATTTCCCCCCATACAATGCTGTTTTGCTGATATTAGATTTACTTACCTTTTAACGGGATATTTATGCTATTTCCATGAACACACTCATCTACAAAGATACAAATTATCCAAGTAACAATACATAAGAGACCCGCATGGAGGTCTGGGTTAGCTGTGTACAGAGAAAGATGCAGGGCTGGAGCAGAGCTGCATCCTGATATGAGAGTCTATCACTTTTTTCCCCCTCTGAAGCTATGGGGAATGAAGAATTCACTCTTTTATTCGTGGCGTGATGGCAGTTCAAGGTTTTATTGAGGATGTGGTCTGGCAATGGTATTCTGCAACCCACGCACAAAACATAGCACTAAAATCTTTATAATTAACTGCATATGATTTAGCAGGGTCATTTAGAAGGATGATTCATCTGCAGTAGGTGTAAACTGGCTCACTAAATCTAAAGCTTAGAGGGAAAGACAAGACAGAATAGTTTCTTGATTCCACTTTAGGCTAATAGCCAGGTGACTCAGAGTCCTTACGAGCCCTGATTCAAGCTTCATTTCTCAGCACTGTTAGCTGCTGGAGTTACATGCCCAACAATTCATCTTTTTGCATCTCAGCTATGTAAGTCTCTAAAACCAGTTTTTATCAGGGGTCTAGGGATTGTGCTACCTGTAAGTCTATGCTCCAAACTACTAATATTTTTCTTCATTCTTCTTTGAATTTGAATGTGTGTTTATGTCTAAGGTTTTTTTTTTTTCTCCCAGTTTAATTACACGTTTTGGTAAAATTGTGCAGTGGGCACTGCTTCTCTTCAGTGTCTTTCCATCTTCGTGCAGGCTGGTCATGTCCTGTCTTCTAATGCTACCTGAGCCCTAGCACTCCAGGAATTCCATTATAACAGACTCTTTCTCCAGGCATCTCTTGAATTCTACAAAAATCTTTAACGTTTTCTCTTTACACTCTGCTTTCAGCAAGCTGCCAATTAGAAAAGATCTGAAAATATCATCCTCTAAGTGGTTAGTAGCTCACAGTAGTTCACTGTATTCTCCTCAGGAGAACTTGCACTGCAAAAGGGAATGGATCATTGACTTTAGGCAATGTTCCACAACTAAGGACAGCAGAGTCTCCTGGAATGAACTTTTAGAAATGCAGATTCCTGGGCTGCCAGAATAAGAATACATGCTTTCAAGAATCTTCCAATCTTCCCAGATTGGGAAATGACAACTATTAGCCTGGAACAATCAAACATTTGGATATCACCATATTCAGGTACAAAGTTAGGGTTAAAGCAAAGGCTATTTGTAACCTCAAGTACTTTCTACCATACCTCCTAAAGAAATTGTGTATGCAACCCACACACACACACACACACACACACACACACGTGAGTGCTATAATTTGGTCCCATGCCAAATGTCAAGAAGAATAGAGTCAAGTAATAAGCAATATCCATCCACTGCAACCTTTGGGATAAACTATACTCTTGGTTAGCTCAGGATCAAGCGTAAAAACATTCCATTGAATGTATATTACAAATTAGTTACATCTCTTGTTTGGAGGGAACTGCATTCACTTCACCAGCAAGGGTATCTTTTTGATACTGTTGACTGTTCACATAACCCAACAACAGTCTTTTCACAGTATTTTTGTTAGTTTATTACAAAACCTTTTATTGTTATTGTGTTTTATAAATTCCAATGCAATGAAATACATTCTACTCTTTGTATTACTACTGTTAACATTTTAATGACTATCTCTGCATTCTTTCATTTATTATTTCATTCATTCATTCAGCAAATATTCCAGGAACTATTCTAAGCTCTGCAAACAAGCTACATAAAGCCCACATACTCAAGATAGCATTATAATGGTGCAGGTAAAAATGAAACACATAAGTTCCATGAAAATGTCAAACATGATTAATGGGACTCAGATGTCCTAGGGGAAGGAATGCTACTTTACATTGAAGAGTAAGGTGAGGCCTTTGCAAACATGTTGCATTTGAGCTGATACCTGAATGATAAGAAGGAGCCACTCGTGAGATGCTCTGGGGAATTGAAATCTATACAGAGGCAATGATTGTGCAAAGACCTAGGGTGGGAATAAGCTTGGCATACTTGAGGATTAGAAGGAAAGTCAGTTTGATTAGAGTATGATAAAAAATATGGAGACCGATAGCTGAGGTGGGAGAAGTATTAAGGCCTAAGCCACATATAGCTGTACTGTCCAATACAGGATCCACTGGGCACATGTAGCTACTGAGCACCTGAAGTCAAGCTACTCTGAATTGAGGTGCACTCCGGGTGTCAAACACAAATGTAGACTGGATTCTGAAGATCTAGTATAAAGAAAGTATACAGTATATCTCATTAATAATTTTATATGGATTATGTATTGTAATGATAATTTAGAGATACATTGGATTAAATTAAAATATTATTACTATTAATTCACTTGTTTTACTTTTTCTAAAGTGCTTATTAGAAAATGTTACATTATGTATGTGGCTTAACTTAAAGCCTTGTATGTCATAGTCAGAAGTCTCGGTTTAAGCAGAATGAGAAATATTTAAAAGATTCTAAAGAGGCGTTACAATATGAATTACCGTTTTTTGGTTGTTTTGTTGTTGTTGCTGTTTTAAGACAGGGCCTCACTCCCGTCACCCAGGCTGGAGTGCAGTGGTGTAATCACGACTCACTGCAACCTGAGATATAGAAAACAGGGATGATTTTAGTTGTCATTATGAGTAAATGGATGGTTGGGGGCCATTCTATGGGATGGAGAAGACTGGGATGGGAGTGTACTTGAGAGCAGGAGAAACAAGGGTACTATTTTGGAAATATGTTGAGATGTCTGTTGAACATCTGAGTAAGCTCTTCAATAGGGAAGTCATGCAGAGGAGGAGAAATAGACCAAGAAAGAGGAACCTAGTAATTGCGAGAAAGTAAGTGCTTGGTGGTATCGCAGAAGTCAACCAAATAACTTGTTTCAAAGACCAGAGAGCGGTTTACGATGTCAAGTACTGTTCAGCAGGCAAGGAAGATGTGAACAGAGACCTGGTCATCGCATCTGGCAATATGGAGATAGTTGATAATCTTGATAAGAGCAATTTGTGATGGTGGTAGCAATGCCAGTCCAACTAAAGTATATTGAAGAGTAAATGGGAGCTAATAAAATTGGAAATAAAAAAATAGAACTTAGCAGATCTTTGAAGATTTGCTGTGGGCAGATAAAGGGAATAAGAGCTGGAGACACACTGTAAGTTTTTTGAATTTAAGACTGATTAGAGCTTATCTGTGTGCTAAGGGGGATTATTCAGTAAAGCGGAAGAAAAATGATGCAGTAGAGAAACAGAATCATTGTAGACAAAGGGTTCTAGAGTAAACTAATTGGAATGGGATTCAGACCTCAAATGCAGGATTGGCCTTTGATAAGGTTCTGATGCTTCTCCTACTACATCTGAAGATAAGACTGAGTAGATGAGTACAGATATAGGAGGGTATTTTTCTCCCCACCTTCCCCTGTGTGTGTGTGTGTGTGTGTGTGTGTGTGTGTGTGTGTGTGTGTGTGTTTGCAAACCCCCTCTCATACCAACTTTTCACATTTGTGCAGTCAAACGCTCTGCCACTGAGCTACACCCCCAAATTTGTAACACTTGGACACACAATTTTAAATTCATTAATCTGGTGTGTTCTAGTTTCAAATGCTGTTACAGAAAAGTTTGGTGCCCATTTTAGCTGTGATCCTTTGCATAAGACCTGTCCTTTAACTCTTGGAACTTTCATGATCTAATATTTTGAATCCTCCCAAAATGTGACTTGGTTAAGTCTTTTGTTTAATTCATTATTCTGAACACCCACAGATTCCCTTCAATCTGCAGACTCATGTCCCTATTTTGGTGAATTTTCATTTGTACTGTATTAGTCCATTCCCACACTGCTAATAAAGACATATCCAAGACTCGTTATTTATAAAGGAAAAAATTAATTGATTCACAGTTCAGCATGGCTGGGGAGGCCTCAGGAAACTTACAATCATGGCAGAAGGGGAAGCAAACACGTCCTTCTTCACATGGTGGCAGCAAGGAGAACTGCAGCGTGAAGGTGGGGAAAAGCCCCTTATAAAACCAACAGATCTCATGAAAACTCATTCACTAACACAAGAACAGAATGGAGGTAACTTCTCCCATGATTCAATTACCTCCCACCAAATCCCTGGTGGGAGGTAATTATGGGAACTACAGTTCGAGATGAGAATTGGGTGGGGATACAGCCAAACCATATAGGTATTATTGCTTTGATGATTTCCTCCTCTCTAGTGTCTATTTTCTCTCATTCTGGAATCTCTATTATTTGGACATTGCCTTAATTGTTCCTAAAATGGCCATACCTTTATTTCTTACAATCCATGTGTTTGCCTATATCTTCTACCTTCTAGGAGTTTTCCTTGACTGTGGAAAGGAAAACTCTTGCTTTTGTTTAAAATTGTTTTGCTACAGTATTTTTCATGTCCTATAGCTCTTACTTTAATATCCATTCCTTCTTCATAGCATTCTGCTCTTCTTTAATGGGTCCACTATCTTCTTATGTCTCTGAGTATATTAAGTGCAGTTTCTTCGAAGCTGTTTTTGCCTTCAACATTGCCTCTGCTCCTTCTCAGCTCCCTGTTTATCATTGGTTGCTTTTTCTCTTTTCATGTTAGAGGCTTTTCTCAAAAGTTTTAAGATG